>NC_000006.12:666060-817575 GCF_000001405.40 Homo sapiens
TCTCACTAGAAGAGTAGAGCTGAGTAATAGCAACTGAGACCTCATGGCCAAAAACTACTACACTGCCCTTCACAAAAAGAGTGTGCCAATCCGTTAGGTGATGGCAAGTCAGCATCCTTTCTCCATTCTCACATGAAACATTTTTAGCTGTAACTCCTTAATTTTCAGATGTAGAAGACACTTCTCTTGTTTCCAGCACTGGTATTTTCCTCATATTGACTGGAATATATCAAAAACTAGGAGGAAAAGTCAAAACCATTGGAAAATATGTAAAGGCATCTTCACCACGGCAGTCATACTGATGCAAAATTGAGCAAATGATTCAAATGTTACTTATGTTTACAACAGGAATTTCAAAAACTGGTCAGCATCCCTTCCAGAAAATTTCCAGAAAATTTAGGTCTATTAAATTAACATTATTATTTAGAATTGGGAAACTTGGTGCTTTACTGTTTTGTTTTGGCACTTTACAACTTTTTTTTCTGAGCAGTTTTATTAAGTTTACAGAAAAATTAAATCAAAATTAGAGTTTCCATATACCCCTTCACTACCACTCCCTCCTGTTTCCTCTGTTATTAACATCTTGCATTAGTGTGGCACAGCTGTTACAACTGAGGAGCCAATACTGATATACTATTAAGTAAGTTCCATAGTTTACACTGGGGCTCTTTGTGTGGTACATTCTATGAGTTTTGACAAATGTATAACTTATCATTACATGTATCCAACATTACAGTATCATACTGAATACTTTCACTGCCTTAAAAGTCCCATTTTCCCTCTTCTCTTAGCATGGCAATTATGTTCTTTTTTTTTTAATTTTTTTTTCAGTGGCTATCTTAGAGTTTGCAATATGCATTTACAACTAAACCAAGTTCACTCTCAAATAACACTTTCCCATTCATGGATAGTGGAAGTACCTTATAACAAAGTATTCCCACTTTCTTCTTCTCATCCCTTACAACACTGGTGTCATTCATTTTAATTATCTATAAGCTATAATCACCGTAAGTTTTGTTGCTGTTATTCTTCAGAACAAACAGTTGTCTGTCAGATCAATTAATAAGAAAAACTAAAAACTGTATTTTACCTTCATTCATCTATAATGCTCCTCCTTTCTTCATGTAGATCTGAGTTTCTAATCTACATCATTATCACTGTTGTTTTTTGATGAATATCTTTTAGTGTTTCTTACAAGGAAGGTTTACTGGTAACAAATTTCCTCAACTTTTGTTTATCTGAGAAAGTATTTCTCATTCGCTTCTGAAGGGTAATTTCATTTGTATACAGGATTTGACAGTGGTAAGTGTGATGACTGGAAGAAGAGATACCCAGACAGCTGAGCTGGTAAAGCATTATTTCTGGGTGTGTCTGTGAGGGTGTTTGGGGAAGTAACTGGCATTTGAATCAGTGGACCAAGTAAGAAAGCTCTGTTGTCACCCATTGTGAGCAGGCACCACAAAGCCGCTGAGGGTCTTGATCAAAGAAAAAGGCAGAGAAAAGGCAAATTCTCTCCTTTTTGGAACTGGGACACCCATCTTTTCCTGCTCTTGAATCACCAGAATGCCACGGTCTTCTGAGCTTTGGATTCCCAGGCTTATACCAGTGACCCCTGCCCCCCAGGTTCTGAGGCCTTTGGCCTCAGACTGAGAGATACACTGCGGGCTCCCCTGGTTGAGGCCTTCAAACTTAGACTGAGCCATGCTACTGGCTTCTCTGATTCTGTGGCTTGCCGACGCCTGTCATGGGACTTCTCAGCCTCCATAGTCATGTAAGCCAGTTCCCCTAATAAATCCCCTCCCATCCATCCATCCATCCATCCATCCATCCATCCATCCATCCATCCATCCATCCGTCCATATCCTGTTGATTCTGTTTCTCTGGAAAGCCCTAATACACTGGGTTTTTTTCTTTCAGCACTTTATTTCACTCCACTCTATTCTTCCTTGCATGGTTTCTGAAGAGACATCTCATATAACTCTGATCTATGCTCCCCTATAGAAAGGTGCTTCTTTCAAGAGTTTCTATTGGTTTTTGATTTTCTGCAACTGGAATAGGATATGTCTGAGTGTAGATTTTTTGGTATTTGTCTTGCTCCGTGTTCTCTGGGCTCCCAGGATCTATGGATAGTTGCCTATTATTAATTTTGGAAAATTTTTAGGCATTAATGCTTTAAGTCATGCCCAGGAAGATACTCAGCCATGCTGTGCCTCCATCATGTCTCTCCTACAGTCCCCTCATTGTCTCCCACACTGTCTTCTGGGTGACGCATGCTTTCTCCCTCTGTTGGCCTCCAGCATTCCAGAACTTAATTCTTCTGTCCTATCCTTCCAGGTGAAAGAAGTGCTGTTCTCATTGCCTGCACAGCCCTGTGCTCACTGCTGAAATCTGCGTTCTGTCACACTCAGCGTTAGGTCCCTCAACACCCATCCCACCTGCTTCTTAGCCAACTAACTTCCACCATTCACCCATTCAGTCATCACTTTCTGTGGGAAGCTACACCTTCCCTCACCTCACTTCCAACAACCTAACCTCCCTCAGCCCCAGGTTGGATTAATCGTACCCCATGTATACTTATCTCTACCATTCAGCCAGTAAAAGTAGAGATACTATGGTCTCTTGGGATCTACCAGTAATTCGTCCTAAGGCATTCTGTGGATACCAAAATCTGGGGATGCTCAGGTTCCCTACATAAAATTGCATAGTATTTGCATATAACCCACACACATCCACCAGCATACTCTAGATTACTAATCATCTCTAGATTACTTATAATACATAATACAATGTAAGTTATCAAACTGTATTGTTTTTGTTGTTTTTTTATTGCTGCATTGTTTTTTTCTGAATATTTTCCATCTGTGATTGGTTGAATCTGTCCATGCAGAACCCATGGATATGGAGAGCTGACTGTATTTCTTTTTTACTTACTTGGTGCTAGGCACATGAAGGTGCGGAATAAACGCTTATGAATGAACCTCCAACTGGTATGTTTGCTCCTCGAGGACAAGTATTACCACCTGCAACTGTCTGCATCCCACACCCGGCTGATCTCCTGCACCATGTCCTTGGACTCCATGGAGCTCAGGATCTTCCTGCTCCATGTGAAATGCAGCGAGCACAGCTTGAACTCCCCACATTCCAGCTACATGCCAGATCTTCCCAGCCAACCTGAAACACAGGTGTCTGTGGATGAAGATAAGGAACCTCCTGTGGCCCCCTGCCAGCCCTGAATGTTGCGAGAGGGAATGGCTGAGGTTATACATTCTGGCAAATTCTGCCGGTCCTAACCAAAGCTGCACAGTATGAAGGGAGTTCTCCTTTGGAGGACACACCCTAGGAACAGTTGATTCTGTCTGGGGTTCCACCACTGCTGCTGGTGCTGTGGGTGGAGGGGGAGGCCACAAGGCCATGCTGGAGGCTTTGCTGGGCCAGTCTTCATCTCAAGGTGAGGCAGAAGACTGGCAGGCACTTTGACTGTTCTGCTGGCCTTTCAACCTGACTCCTGATCCTCCTCAAGCCACTGATTTTCTATTAGAGGAAAAAGAAAATGTGGGAAGAGCAGGCTCGCTGCTTTGGGCTGGCAGAGACCCTAGGCTGTACCTGGAAGGATGGAGAAGGATGGCAACAGTTGGTGGGATCAGCTAAGGAAAGGACTTCACAGTGATGGTGTGGCCCTCCAGCTGAGGTGTCCTGTAGCCCATCAATGAGTCCAGAATTTCCCTTACATGTAGCCCAAGGACAGCATTAACTCAGTGTGCCAGGGATCCCTGGAGTCAGGGAGTGGCTGGATGTAGTTTTAGTTCCTCTTCATAGCCCACATTTATCCATGGGTCCCTCATGATTTCCTCTGCAGTGCCTCTCTTACTGGGGTTTGGGAGCAGGAATTTATTTAGGTGTTCATACTCCATAGACATGTAAAGGGAATGTGATATATACCTACTTTGGAAGCTCTGCTATAGTTCTGTCCATTGTAAGACAGAAACCTGATGATCACCGACCACTGCACAGAGAATGACTCCCAGGCTGCCAACATCCATCTCAGAGCCATCGTACTTTTGCGTACGTTGCCTAGAAGAGTTCCAGGACAGTGTAAGAAGCACTGACACAGAAGTTATCTACCCTGCTGCCAAAGGTGAGCTCGTTGCTAAAGCCAAAGTCTGCAAACGTGAGGTTCAGTTCAGCATCCACACAAGCAGGTTCTTTGGCTGTATGTCCCTGTGCAGGATCCCCTTCTGGTGGCAGTACTATCTGTTGGATTCTGCCTTGGGCCAAAAATTTAGGCAGAGCCAGGGACGAAAATAAGTGTTTGGCATTTTACAATAATGACTCCTACTGAGGTCACAGCAAGAAATGGACCAATCACAGCTGAGGATAATCCACTGTGGTTTTCTCATTTTTGGTCTGAAGAACTCTTTACTTTTTTTAATTTAAAAAAAAAAAAGGGAAGGAGGACTTCAAACAGCTTTCTGTTCACATAGGTTAAAGTGATCAATACTTTTCAATATGGCAAATTAAATCCACAGAATGCTTCAGTGACCTTTCATTTCCAGTCTGAAAATCTGTAATAATTTTTGACTTTTAAAAACTCATAGTGTCTACACTGAAAATATTCAATTCCTTTCTCTTTAATCTCTGAATGATTGGTCTCAAAAATGATGCCACAACTCGCATCACATAAGAAAATGTTCTGTTGCATAAGACACAATAAGGTAATTATTAACATCTATAGAGCTGAGAGAAAGACATATTTTCATTTCTTATTTAGAGTTTTGCCAAGTCTCTGGAATAAATTCCTCTCTTCCATGAGCCCATTGGGGTAGCTTTAAATGTAGAAGTTGCAACTGTAGGTCAAGAAAGTAAGTCTTTTTCAGCCAGGCACAGTGGTGCACACCTGTAGTCCCAGCTACTTAGGAGGCTGAGGCAGAAGGACCACCTAAGCCCAGGAGTTCAAGACCAGCCTGGGTAACATCATGAGACTCCATCTCAAAAAAAAAAAAAAAAAAAAAATTAAGGCTGGGCATGGTGGCTCACGCCTGTAATCCCAACACTTCGCGAGGCTAAGGCAGGCAAATCACTTGAGGTCAGGAGTTAGAGACCAGTCTGGCCAACATGGCAAAATCCCGTCTCTACTAAAAGTACAAAAACTAGCCAGGCTTGGTGATGCACTCCTGTAGTCCCAGCTACCTGGGAGGCTGAGGCAGGAGGATCACTTGAACCTGGGAGGTGGAGATTGCAGTGAGCCGAGCCTGGGTGACAGAGTGAGACTGTCTCAAAACAACAACAACAACAACAAAAAAAAACAAAAAAAGAAAAACTATTTGTTTTTTAAGCCAACAATTCATTACATTCCACATCCGTATCATTCAGCATGAATGTGGGGTGTAGGTGCTGGGCATGGTGCCAGATGCCAGGACCTGAGGGGAGGGAACCCAGAAGCCACTGCATTTATTCCTTCTCTAAAATTCATCCTTGAATTTTTCAGATCCAAGTATTTGACCTATATCATTTTGCTTCTCCCTAAAGAACAACTTTTAACATTTTAACTTCTTTTAATAGTTAAGGCAAATCTAATGGCAATAAATCCCCTCAATTTCGTCTGGAAAAAGTTTATTTCTCCTTCACGTTTGAAGGATAATTTCACTGGATACGGAATTCTATGTAGGTGGGTCTTTTTTCCTTACTTGTTTGCATGGTTGCTGAAAAAAAGTCTGATGTAATTTCCATTCTTGTCTCCCTTATGTAAGGTGTCCATCTCATCCCCAACCCCAGCTTCCTTCAGTATCCTTCAGTATTTTTTATATTTTTCTACAGTTTGAATACAATATGCTAAGTGTAGATTTTTTATTTTTTATTTATTTATTTATTTTTTGGTACTTGCTTGCCTACTGTTCTCTGAGCTTTCCAGATCTGGGACTATCATTAATTACAAAAAACTCTCAGCCATTATTACGGCAAATATTTCTTCTGTTATTTTTTTCCTTCCCCTTCTTGGTTCCCACTATACATACATTATACTTTGTGTAACTGTCCCACAATTCTTGGCTGTTCCATTCCATTTTCTTCCACCTTTTTTCTCTATTATAGTTTCTGAAGACTCTATTGATGTTTCTTCCAGTTCACTGATTCTTTCCTCAGCTATGTCTGGCCTACTGATGTGCTCATCAATGGCACTCTTCTCTTCTGTTAGTGTTATTTCTACCATTTCTTTTTCATTCCTTCTTAAAGTTTCCATCTCTCTGTGCACATTACTTATCTGCTGCATGTTCCCCACTTTTCCCATTAGGACCCTTAGCATATAATCATAGTTGTTTTAAATTGCTGGTTTGATCATTCTAACATCCTCCACCATACCTGAATCTGGTTCTAATGCTTGCTCTGTTTCTTCAAAATGTGGTTTTTGTCTTTCATTTCTGCCGTGTAATTTTTTGTTCAAAGCTGGATATGCTGTATTGGTTAAAGCAACTCAATACTGGTTTCCCACAGAAACTTCCATTCCTAGGCTTCTGCACTAAGAAGTTGGGATGCTCTGTATCTGCCTGTTGTCTCTCCCATTTAGGGGACAGTGGTTTACCCTGTGGCCTCAATTTTCTGAGGGATATAAGGAAAGTTGTTGATTTTCAGTTTGTTTAGCTTTTTCCTTATCCTGTGGCCTCAATTTTCTGAGGGATATAAGGGAAGTTGCTGATTTTCAGTCTGTTTAGCTTTTTCCTTATTGTGAGGATTCGAGTGGTGACTTCCAAGCTCCTACATCTCTGACCAGAAACTGCAAGAGCTTTGTTTTCAATATTTACATAAGTAAGTTGCATTCTTATAAAATTAAAGTACATTTTACAATTTACTCAGAGCTTTAGTGTATGTGATCTAAACGATAAGGTAAATTTCATTAAGTTTGTAGACTCTGTTTTAAAATTCATGACTGGGCGCGGTGGCTCAGCCCTGTAATCCCAGCACTTTGGGAGGCCAAGGCGGGCAGATCACTTGAGGTCAGTAGTTTGAGACCACCCTGGCCAACATGGTGAAACCCCATCTCTACTAAAAATACAAAAAAATTAGCTGGGCGTGGTGGCGGGCACCTGGGATACCGGCTACTCATGAGGCTGAGGCAGGAGAATCACTTGAATCTGGGTTGCAGAGGCAAGATCGCGCCATTGCACTCCAGCCTGGGTGACAAAAGTGAGACTCCATAGCCAAAAAAAAAAAAAAAAAAAAAAAAAAAAAAAAAAAAAAATTCACATTTATCTAAGAAAAAAGATAACAATACAATTGTCTTTTATTTGCACTGGTTAGTGTTCCATTAAATTAGTACCACTTAAGCCTCAACAGTATTTGGCTTAACAGAAGTTAAGCTATGAAACTGCAGCAGTGTATAGTCATATATTTTATTTATTCAGAAATATAAAGTGCAATTTTTAAACTATCTGGAAACAGAAAAGATTTCTATTTCTTGGAATAACAGATTCGTTAGGGTGAGGAGGAGCGAAAACGTTTCTAACAGTACAGATTTTGAGATCTATGTTTTCAGAAGTACAGCATAATGCACCAAGGCCTCATTTACTAGATGCCATCGGCAAGGAGGGGTTCTGCCTAGAGGAAACCTCCAAACAAAGCAGATTTACACTTCAAAACTCAAAAAATATATAACTTTTTACTATTTTGGCAGGGATCTCTCTCATCTGTATTTGCCTTCCCAATATGAAACACAAATGAACTTAAAAATATAATAATTAAAAAGTATGAAATATTGCAAGAAATACCAAAATGTGACGCAGAGACATGAAGTGAGCACATGCTGTTGGAAAAATGATGCTGAGACACTTGCTTAATACAGGGTTACCACAAACCTTCATTTTGCTTTTTTTAAAAAAAGTATTATCTGTGAAATGCAGTATCTACAAGGCACAATAAAGCGAACTGCAATTAAGCGAGTTATGACTGAAAACTCTCCAAACCCCTAATAATCCAAAAATGAGAAATTGAGAACTACCAACACTTTCAATCAAATTTTATATTACGATGCTTGGTTCAAAGAATAACAAAACTAACAAACTCTGAGCTAGAAATTAAGCAAAAATACCAACTTGATCATAATTCTCATGCAATTAGCCAAATTTGAATCATTATACCAAAATACATAAGGCCAAAATGAGTTTTTTATTGCCATGATAATTACAGAACAAGTGTTGGTTCCAAATGAATGATGAAGACTGCTGACATGATTACTTCCTTTCCCTCAATAATTCTATAAAAAAAAATAAAGACAGAATTTGTTTAGCCTTGGAAGTGACTTATTTATTTACTCTTTCAGCTAGCTAGCATTTGGATCATGTTTCCTCAAAAAAGTTCATGTACCCTGTTAAAAAAAAATTACCTTGTACTAAATATGAACTGTGAACACTTCTCAAAGCCTTGCAGTAATAATGAGGGTAAGCTATGTTGGAAACAAAGAAAATGTGCAAAACACAATAATTTCAAAAATTGCTGGGAGAAATGAGTAAGCTATTGTAAAGGCTTTTTCTCATACTCTTTTCTAGGTCAAATTTATGCCTCTTCTCCTTGGCAATAAGAAACACTACTGTACTGATCTTTTCTCCTCTCTGCTACTAAATCCTAAAGCTGTGGTACAAAAAGTCCTGGCCCTTGTATTAACCATGTTTGTTTGTTTGTTTGTTTGTTTGTTTGTTGTCAGTGCTTTATGATGCTTTGACATTTTGGAGCCTGTGGACCAGGGAAGGGACTGCCCCTCTGAGAACTGGCTAATTCCTAGAGGTCACAAACTACTTGCCTGGTCTGAATACCCTTCAATTAGGCTCCTCCAATCAGGGACACTGCCCCCAGCCCTACATACCCCAGGTGCCAGCCAACTAGGGACCACTCCTACAGCCCAGAGCCCTCCAAAAAATTATTCAGATGATCCAATCCTAAACTTGCTCAGCTTGCCTACCCTGCCTAGCCATTCCTTCCCGGGAAAACCATAACAAAGGGTCTGGCCCATGCTTTCCCTGGCTCCCTCTGCCTCCTGACCTACCCCCAGTGCTTCCTGTGTGGTGCGGCTTGCCCACCCTCTTGGAACTGTGAGTAACACAATTTTCAACAACAATCTTATCCTGCTTGTTGATAATAAAACCTACATTTTAAAAGTCTTCCCTTTTCAACCTTTCTGAGCCACTGTGACTCAATACTAATTCTCGCTCTTCACCAAAAAAGAGACTCTCAGGCTGGGGGTGGAGGAAAGAAAGCAAAAAACATTTAGAAATTCTCAACTCCTTTAAGTACTTTAGGGGGAACTGGCCATGGTAATAGCATTGTTTTTTGCTTTTCTTTTTCATTTATTCAAATGATCAAGGAAGGTCAGTGATAGTGCGCAGACATGCAGGAGTACATGAAGAGACGTGTTCTCCATTCTAAAAGAAATGGGCGCCCCATCAACCCATTGCTTTAAACCTCTTCAACATTACAGAAAGGACAGGTTCCTCTGGAGACTCTGAGGTTCCCCATACTCTTCAACATTACGGAAAGGACAGCCTCCTCTGGCAACTGCGGTTCCCCATACTCTTCAGCATTACAGAAAGGACAGGTTCCTCTGGCGACTGCAGTTCCCCATACTCTTCAACATTACGGAAAGGACAGGTTCCTCTGGAGACTGCGGTTCCCCATACTCTTCAACATTACGGAAAGGACAGTTTCCTCTGGAGACTGCGGTTTCCCATACTCTTCAACATTACAGAAAGGATAGGTTCCTCTGGAGACTCTGAGGTTCCCCATACTCTTCAACATTACGGAAAGGACAGCTTTCTCTGGAGACTGCGGTTCCCCATACTCTTCAACATTACGGAAAGGACAGTTTCCTCTGGAGACTGCGGTTTCCCATACTCTTCAACATTACAGAAAGGACAGGTTCCTCTGGAGACTCTGAGGTTCCCCATACTCTTCAACATTACGGAAAGGACAGCCTCCTCTGGCAACTGCGGTTCCCCATACTCTTCAGCATTACAGAAAGGACAGGTTCCTCTGGCGACTGCGGTTCCCCATACTCTTCAACATTACGGAAAGGACAGGTTCCTCTGGAGACTCTGAGGTTCCCCATACTCTTCAACATTACGGAAAGGACAGGTTCCTCTGGAGACTGCGGTTCCCCATACTCTTCAACATTACGGAAAGGACAGGTTCCTCTGGAGACTGCGGTTCCCCATACTCTTCAACATTACGGAAAGGACAGGTTCCTCTGGAGACTCTGCGGTTCCCCATACTCTTCAACATTACGGAAAGGACAGGTTCCTCTGGTGACTCTGCGGTTCCCCATACTCTTCAACATTACGGAAAGGACAGGTTCCTCTGGTGACTCTGCGGTTCCCCATACTCTTCAACATTACGGAAAGGACAGGTTCCTCTGGTGACTCTGCGGTTCCCCATACTCTTCAACATTACGGAAAGGACAGGTTCCTCTGGTGACTCTGCGGTTCCCCATACTCTTCAACATTACGGAAAGGACAGGTTCCTCTGGAGACTCTGCGGTTCCCCATACTCTTCAACATTACGGAAAGGACAGGTTCCTCTGGTGACTCTGCGGTTCCCCATACTCTTCAACATTACGGAAAGGATAGGTTCCTCTGGTGACTCTGCGGTTCCCCATACTCTTCAACATTACGGAAAGGACAGGTTCCTCTGGAGACTGTGGTTTCCCATACTCTTCAGCATTACGGAAAGGACAGGTTCCTCGGGAGACTCTGCGGTTCCCCATACTCTTCAACATTACGGAAAGGACAGGTTCCTCTGGTGACTCTGCGGTTCCCCATACTCTTCAACATTACGGAAAGGACAGGTTCCTCTGGAGACTGCGGTTCCCCATACTCTTCAACATTACAGAAAGGACAGGTTCCTCTGAAGACTCTGCGGTTCCCCATACTCTTCAACATTACGGAAAGGACAGCTTTCTCTGGAGACTGCGGTTCCCCATACTCTTCAACATTACGGAAAGGACAGCTTTCTCTGGAGACTCTGCGGTTCCCCATACTCTTCAACATTACGGAAAGGACAGCTTTCTCTGGAGACTGCGGTTTCCCATACTCTTCAACATTACGGAAAGGACAGCTTTCTCTGGAGACTGCGGTTCCCCATACTCTTCAGCATTACGGAAAGGACAGGTTCCTCTGGAGACTCTGCGGTTCCCCATACTCTTCAACATTACGGAAAGGACAGGTTCCCCTGGCGACTCTGTGGTTTCCCATATTACACTTTATAGGGATTTTGACCCCTTCATTAGTGGGTTGAAGTTTTTGTGTTTAGTGCACAGTTAGCATTTGAGGTGGTATATGTAGGAATAAACATGGCTCTTGCCTTTATTTAAAATATTTTTCAATATAAAATCAGAAACAATACCAATTACATTAGGACACAACTAGCCATCAATCAACAGATAATATATCTTAGATATTAAGCAAACATTGATGACTTATTTTATCCAGGTACTTAATTTTTTTTTGAGATGGAGTCTGCCTCCTGGGTTCAAGCGATTCTCCTGCCTCAGCCTCCTGAGTAGCTGGGATAACAGGCGTGCACCACCATGCCTGACTAATTTTTGTATTTTTAGTAGAGATGGGGTTTCACCATGTTGGTCGGGCTGGTCTAAAATTCCTGACCTTGTGATCCGCTTGCCTCGGCCTCCCAAAGTGCTGGGATTACAGGCATGAGCCACTGCGCCCAGCCTTATCCAAGTACTTTTCTATGTTCTTGCCATGCAATAACTTTTAATCCTCAGAACTCTCCTATGAGGATGGCTCATTAAATACTTTGTCCAATACTCCACAACCAATAACTATCACAGCAGGAATCACACCTAGGCAGTTTGCATCAGGGGCTGTGCTTATAATCTCTCACACACACACACACACACACACACACACACTCTTCACGTTGTCACTCACATATGAAAAGGGTCCCCCAAAAGAACTGTTTTCCCCAAAGTGCCTCCCTCCCTGACCAGTTCTTCAGTGTGACCGTGAGCACGCAATGAGAGATGCTAACTGGCACGAAGGACATGACCAACAGTTTTTAATCAGTGCAAAGTGGATTGACCAATATGGGGTAAAGAACACTGGTGTCATTAACAGCACACTTTTGCCAGACAAATCAACTTGTTCAGCCATGGAGAGGGAGAAAAGACACTTAACCAAGAGTCAGAAGGCAGAAATTCAAATCCTAACTATATGATTTATTCAGGTCCCTTTAATTTCTATCAGTTTTCTCATCTTAAAATAGGAATAATAACTAATGTCACAGGAATCCTGTAAGGATTAAATGGAATCATGTGTACCAAAGATCTCTGCAAACTTTAAAGGCCAAAATAAAAGTAACCTAGTATTGCTACCATTCATGCATCAAAAACCAACTGTAAGTGAATTCGTGGGCCAGGTGCGTCATTAGCTGCGCTGACACGCCAGAGACTGGGTGAGCAACCTTCTAGGAGAATGGTCCTCAATTGTTTTAGGATAGAAAGTATTTTAATTAGAAAAAATAGAGAAACATTCTAAGATTTGTGCTGCATAACTTAAGAAAGATGAAAGCAGCAGGCAGAGAGGGCTGACACAATATAGTAACAGTACACAATCGTGATTACCTCCCAGAACCAGGGCATGGGGCTCCAGGGCAACAGGGGGAAGTGCTTCTTTAAAGCCACAGCACTGCACTACATAACACGGTGGGAAAATTCCAAACACTGATGATGGGCCGTAGTCAGGACAGCCAAAGATTAAGCTGAATTTTATTCTAAACAAACTACTGCTTTATTTTCTTGCCTCTTAATTTTTAGCATATTAACTCCAATCCCAGAAATGTTTCAGTTACACTCCAAAAGCATAATGTTCTTGCTTACATAACTTCAAACATCTATAGAGTTAAAGAATTCCTGGTGATGTAAAAAGTCAAATATACATATAATTTTAATTATATGTATATTAAAAAAACTAGAAGAACATAAAGTAAGTGTATATTACAGCTGTTGGGGTGGAAGGACAACATTTGGACTTGACAGAAAAATCACAACGGTGAACACACTAAGTTCCTAGCCATAAAGAAATATACATCTTCTATAAGTTAATAAATAAAAGATAAGAAATTTGAAAGCCAAACAGGAAGTCTGCAAATATATTCAAAATGTCAAAATACAAATAACTTTATTATATAAACAGCTCACAAAAATCAATCCAGAAAACACCAAGAGCTTCAAAAAAAAATTGAGAAGGTATAAGCTTACAGTTCACAAGAGAGGAGATGCAACCAACCAACGAACATAAAGACAAAACCCAACCTCAGAGAAACATCAACTAAAAGAGGTTCCACCGCTGGCCTATTAACAACACAAGATATTTAAGATGATCTCGAAGGCTCATAGTTGTCGGCTGAATCTGTACACAGCTCCCACGGATCGCTGGCAGCAGCACAACTGTTCCAATACTCTGAAAAATAATTCGGCCACGTGTCAAAGCCTTAGACATGCTTCCACAGTTTGACTCAAAATGTATTCTTGAAAAGTGAACAATGACTAAAATAATTCAAACCATGGGGATTGCTATTAGGCATGAAGATTCCCATAACTGCAAAAATGTATTACAGCAAGACGGGGAAAAAACGGAAACATCCACCAAAACATCCAGTAAAATGTAAAGGTTCAGTCAAGGAAACTATGCAGCCAGTGAAACATTATGAAAAACATGCGAAACCAAGAGAATACTTACAACAAATTAGCGAAATAGAAAGACATACGAATAAATAAATAGGCAGATAGGTATGAACAGACAGATGTACAGAAAAAGTTCCTAGAAGGAAGTATTCTAAAATGCCAAATGGTTTATTAACAAGGGTAGGATTATCAGAGATTCAATAGCTTGTCAAAAATCACAGCTATTAAGTGAAAGAGGTGGGATTCAAAACCAGACCCTTGCTCTATGCTATACTCCGGATGACTATTTTTTTTTTTATTTATTATGGAAATCTTAAACATACATAAGAGAGACTAGCATAAGGAACCTCCAAGTTCCCATCACCCAGCTTCAACATTCTGTGTCTTGTTTTAGCTGCCTCTCCCCTTCAACATACTTTCATGTTGTTTGTTGAGGGAGCTCTTTAAAGCATTGTATCATTTCATCCATAAATGACTTAGTTTGTACCTCTACAAATGACATTGCACCCAGCCCCAGGTCAATTTTTTCATATGGTCTAAAAGTTATTTTGCAGTTGATGTGTTAGAATCAGGACCCAATCAATGTTTCCATTTAAAAAAGAAGAACAAAAGCTACCTTTATACAAACAAGGGCCTATGCTTATATGAATACAGAGAAAGGGCTAGAAGGATGCACACCAGGGGTCAATTATCCTGAGAATGAGATTGGAGAAGGGTGGAGGGGCCAGGGAAATTGTGCCTTTAAATATTTTTACATTGCCTTCCCTGTGGCAATAAGCATGTATATACATGTTTTAGAAACGTAGGTAGGCCTTAGACCACACAGAATAGCCCACTTCCAGAGCCCTGCAGGGCAGCTGCTGGCTGGAGATCCAGGCAGCAGAGGGTCTCCTTAAGAACGCTGACCACATGAGGCTTCCTCTTGGCAGCTCTGAGTTATATGCATTTTTTTGGGCTGGGGGTGGTGCTCATTTCTCCTGTAAATTAACTATCTTAAGAAAGTGATTATAACAAATGATAGTATCCTTTACATTAAAGAAAAAGGGATGAAAAAAAGTTACTGTGCCAAGCTCTCTGCCAGCAATCTTCAGTGGGCTTGCCTGGGCTTGTCATCATATTCTTTCTTCACTCTAGTGTCTAGTCCAGTGCCAGACACTCAGTGAAACGGTGGCCGGGCTGACCAGATCTGGGGATGCACGGGCTCTTCTTTCATCTCCTCAACAACAGCAGCAGAGACCTCAAAAGGCTGTGTGAAATTCCTGCCATAAGAAGCTATAAGATGCGGCTTCTGAGAGGGGTGTCAGCTAGATTTGTTTCACAGGACAGATGCCATTCCTTGATTCTGTACTGTGTGCCATGCACTGTCTTTTAAACCAATAAATCTGGTCACAAGAGCAACTGCCAAAACCACTATAAAACCTGAGTGCCCTAATTACATCCTAAAAGGTCACAATCAACCTGTGACAGCTCCTCCTGATCTTCAATACAATTCATGCTAAGGAAAACAATCAGATAAATCCAAATTAACCAAACATCTAAGCAGAACAACTCCTTTTCTATCGGTCACCTCTGGGTGACAAGAGGTCCAGTTCAAATCTGACCTTTAACTGAAAGGTCCAAGAGGTGAAAAGTTTGATATTCTATTACTGCTTCCACACAGAATTACACGAAAACCAGAAATTCTAATTTGTAGGTGCAGATCTTTAATGCTGTGTCTCCTTTCTCCCCCCACCAAAGAAGTATTTTAAATGTTTAAACCAAAATGAGTTTTGCCCCTAATAAATTTTAAAATATTACTAAGATATTTATAATGAAAGTTACCAGAGAAACTTGTTTTTCAACTATCCTTTAGTCCTATAAAAACTAGGCCAAAACTCATTTAAGCTTGATTTTTCCATTTAAAAAATCCAGCCATAAAAGAGAATGGGATAGTACTGAGAATATATAAAACAATTCTAACTTTTCAGTTCTAATGAAAAGTGCAAATAAAGGTAGTAATCTTTTTCTTAAAGATAACCTTGTTTTCACAGAAATGCACTTGGAAATAGGGTTTTTAAAGTGCTGTCAAGGTACTGTGGTTCTACAGATACTTTGCTTCTCTGCCCTTGCAAGAGAATCAACTGCTCTGGAGGATAATTCCCCCTTTAGTTACCAGAGAGCAAAACCCTGGTCCTTTTCCTGCTCACTGCTAACTCCTGGAGGATTTTGCCCAGTAAAAGCTAAGGTAGAAATGGAGGGAATCTGTTCAGTCAGGATTTATTCATTTAGAGTTCTACATCGAATTTTAAACAACCAATTAGCACCGGCATTGGTGAAACTCCAGAAGGGCTGGGAACAGGAACCTGCATGACACAGCACTGCAGAAAAGTGCTGGTGACTAACAGCCAGTCACACATAGGGCACTTCTATCCAACACAAGCCTTGACCATTCCGCAGTTCCTATTAAATATTTCCCAGTTTCTTTTTTTTTTTTTTTTTTGAGACGGAGTCTCGCTCTGTCACCCATGCTGGAGTGCAGTGGCAGGATCTGGGGTCACTGCAAGCTCTGCCTTCCGGGTTCATGCCATTCTCCTGCCTCAGCCTCCCGAATAGCTGGGACTACAGGCAACCACTACCACGCCCGGCTAATTTTTTTGTATTTTTAGTAGAGACAGGGTTTCTCTGTGTTAGCCAGGATGGTCTAGATCTCCTGACCTCGTGATCTGCCCGCCTTGGCCTCTCAAAGTGCTGGGATTACAGGTGTGAGCCACCGCGCCCGGCCCCGAGTTTCTAAAATACAAGTTCATTTCCACACATGATTACTTAACTATAACCATCATTTATCAGTATTTTTTCCTCTCTCTCTCTCTCCAAAGAATTTTCACTTCCTAGGTAAAAGTCATACAGTAATGACTAACAATATTATGCATATATTATGTCATAATTGACATAAAAGGCCACATATATGATTCCACTTATATGAAAGTTCAGAATAAGTAAATCCATGGATGCAGAAAGTGGGAAAGGATTGATAATGGATTCAGGGTTTTCTCCGGGTGTGATGAAACTGTTCTGGACTTAGATAATGGTGATGGTTGTACAACTTTGTGAATAACTGTGCTTCAGAATTCCTCTGAGCATTAGTTTAACATCATTAGCACCATAAACACAGAACCCCAAAAAACTGAACACAAAAAGAAATACAGGATGGTATCATTTTTTAAAAAGTGCCCAACATGACTAAATTCCTGAAGTCTGATTCCAGATCAGTTGAGGCAAAGGTACACCAGGGCGAGGAGTGAAAAGGTACCAGGAGGGTAGGAGAAAGCTTTACCCTCGCAGTGATGGAAACAGAGCTCAGGTACTGAAACCCAGGGTGAAGAGTAGCAAATAAAGCAGCAGAACAACTCCAAGCTAAACAGACTGACCTTGCGGGAAGATGTGAGTGGCCTAGACTTTCTAATCCTTGACAAACATCAACACCACCAACTCCATTCCAGCAAGACTGCCAGGAAGACATGAAAATAAAGAAGCTAAACAATGCAAAATCCCAAGTGATATCAAGAGTCTACATATGTTTATTCAAATAACAAAATACTTGACCATCTCAACAATAATGTTCAGGAATGAGAGAGGAACAAAATCAAGAAAATATTACTAAGCTATTCATAATGAAAGGATTGGATAAAAAGATATTCTCCTAAATTTATACTACTACATAAAAACAAAGTTTCATTTGTCTCGACTTGTCAAATCTTTAGGATGAAATAAACCAATATCACCGCTGACAAATATAATAACTATGGTAAACAGGCATGCCAAAATCAATGCAGAGTTTCAGAAAAGGTCAAGAAACCAACCGTCAGCTTAAATTGGTTAATTTCATTAAAACTGTTAAACATGACAGGATGTCGCTAACTCCCAGGTTCTTTTATATGAGCAAAGTTGGATTAATTTGACCCAAATTTTGTATAATAGCTTTTCCAATTTCCAAAAATACATCAACTTTGTCACTGATCTTACAAATTCTGCTTTCCTTCTCTAGCTCTATCTCAAAAGAAGCTTCTCGAAGGCCATAAATCTTGACATAGTGAAAGCAAAATAATCACAGCACTCAACAGTGCCGTTAACATTTCTGAGCCGTGAGGGATTAAGCAGGCAGATGCTATGGAAAGTGCCTGTCAGGAAAGGACAGCCCAGAGTTCAGAACGCACCGCAGCTGCGAAGGATTGAAGCTGCTAGCTATGGAATCAAGCTCAGGAGAAACTCTGGGCACAATTCCGGCATCCGAAATAAATTAAAGTAAACAGTGTTGCTCTCTCTCTCATCCACCCTGTTAGCAGCCTCTCGGCTGAGCGGGAGACCACACACTCGGACCACACAGCGCCAGCTGAACTCCCTCGCACGCAACATCTACAAGCTGTCACTCTGCAGCAGCCCAGAGAGGGAGAAGGATGAGGTTAGGGAGGGGGAGACAGGACCGCAGGAAGAGGGGGAGGGGAGACAGGAGAGTCTTCCCTATGTGCAGCTGGAGAGAGTGATGTGTGGTTTAGAGAAGGGGGAGGGGTGGAATCCATAAACCTCCCTGAGAAAACAAGCTGGTCATGGCCTTGTGTAGTCTTGACCTGTACTCCCCCATACCAATTTAGTAGCTGATGAAGGATTAACAAAGCATCCATTTAACATCAATTAACCTCCTATCCATCACAGGTCAAAAGAGAAAATTACTATTACAAAAGCATTTCACTAAAATCAAGACAAAAGGCCACATTTTCTTACAATTTATACTGTACACTTAAGTAAATACATTTTCCTTATAGATATACTATATTAATTTTAAACCATCTGCCTCTTTTCCTTTAATGAAGCATACAGGGATGGATTTAAAGTGTTTTCTGCAACAGAAGTCAGAAAATTTTAATTCTATAATTTTCCCATATTTAATTTCTCAAATTAAAACTGTGGCACAATTTTAATTTTCCAAAATATTTACTACTAGAAAAAAAGACAGTAAGTTGTCATTTTTCACAGAACTTCAGACTAAAAATACACAGAAAAAGTTAGCAGTAATAATATAAAGAAAAAAATCAGAAATGAAACCACAACTGAAAGTAGTTTTAGAATCATAAAAGCAGTACTTTTTACTATTTAGTAATGAAGAGTTTCGCTGATTTCAACAGCAGACAAGAAATCTGAACAAAATGAGTGATCACGGTCTCACCTTGTCATGCTCCCAGATGTTCTTCTCAGCTAGAGAAGGCCAGGAACCAGAAAAATACAGAAGTTCTGACTCACTGAAGACTAGGATAACCTCTACTCAACAGGCCACGGAAGGCCTCATGATGTGAAAACACTATTTCGCTAACAGATCAGACTATAGAAAGGTGATTTTCCCCACAATCATTTGAAAACACACACACACACACACACACACAACCCTCCCAAACGTCCACCCTTCCCCATATATGCCTCAACCTGGCAGCACTGGCATCACCAGGGAACAAATCAAGCAGAATCTCAGTAGCCTTAGCTGTCCAGAACCACTTTGGGTCCAGAGGACCCCAGAAGAATCCTGTTGCAGAGCTGCCTAGTGAGTTTCAACAGTAAAATTAGGCTCAGCCAACTCTCAGGGCACCATAAAATATAATCAAAGTAGAGAATTCACCAAATCTTTCTAGAGTCAGGCCCAACCTAACCTAAGACAGACTTGTCCCTGCTGGGCTGGGTTGGGCTGGACCCAAAGGGATTGCCCAGAGATATTGGGGAAAGGGTTCGGGAAAATGGTGATTTTCTTCCCCAGTTCTCTATAAACACAGACTCCACACTTCCTGAGTGAGATCAAGTGCAAGTTACATTAGCACTGCCACAAATTCTACCATATAACAGCACACAGTGGGACAAGTCTCAGAGACAGGGTCATGAACTCTGTAATCCAGTTTTCCAAATTAATCCTCTTGCTCCTCCTGCTCCATCCCCAAATCATAGTTAACAAAAATACAAGCATGCACAGATCTGAAAGAACTCATAGGGGCCAAATTGTATAGAGTTACGGCCTGATAAGGGCAGAAGACTCGCTGGGTCTCAGAAGGGCCATTTGCAGAAGGGGAGGACTGAACAGGTAAGAAGTAATGTATCCTGCTTTCCTGGACCTCTTTTTTTTTTTTTTTTTTTTTTTTGAGACGGAGTCTTGCTCTGTCGCCAGGTTGGACTGAACAGGTAAGAAGTAATGTATTAATGTATCCTGCTTTCCTGGACCTCTTTTTTTTTTTTTTGAGACGGAGTTTTACTCTGTCACTAGGCTGAAGTGCAGTGGGGCTCACTGCAACCTCCGACTCCTTGGTTCAAGCGATTCTCCTGCCTCAGCCTCCCAAGTAGCTGGGATTACAGGCATGCGCCACCATGCCCAGCTAATTTTTTTGTATTTTTAGTAGAGACGGGGTTTCATCATATTGGCCAGGATGGTCTCAAACTCCTGACCTCATGATTCGCCCTCCTCGGCCTCCCAAAGTGCTGGGATTACAGGTGTGAGCCGCCGCGCCCGGCCTCCTGGACCTCTTTTTATACTTCTTTTCCTTCTCTACCTCTACAAACAAAAAAATACATGAACTACTATCTATGGTTTCAAATGAAAGCATATTTGTTTATATTTTAATTCTTTTGGGAAAATAATCCAATAATTTAAACCATATAACTGATAAATGACACTTGATTTTTATTTATTTATTTTAGGAATGGGAATAAAGGCCTTCCCTCCCTCTACAATGTTTGGAGGTGAGAGATTAAGGGGACGAGAATGTGCATGAGATGACTAGGAAGGAATACTGGAAGCCAGACAAGTATATAGGGAATGCCTGACAACTTAGCTCTCAGAGCCCCCATAAAAGAGATCTGTTATATATATACCGGATTACTCAGCTGTTCTCATAAAACAAGCACTGGATTCTATCTTAATTGGAAAAGTTACTTAGAGGTCTGCTTTATTCCCCCAGGAACCATAAAGCCCTCTGCCTTAGCATGCCATGTCTCCTCCTAGAGGACAAGGACTGTCACTATGTTGCACAGGGAAAGGCTGCAGGTCTAAAGGTGACTGGACTTCCAACCGATGCCACTGGACATTGATGACATGTCAAAAATGAACCAGGCCAGTGCAAATTCATCCCCCTCCATCCACCCCCAACAAATAAATGAAGACAAAAACTTCAAAGAAGATACACTACTTAATAGGAAAACAAAAGAGTTTCATACAAGAGCACAGCATT
The DNA here is from genome assembly GCF_000001405.40 of Homo sapiens. Taxonomy (NCBI): domain Eukaryota; kingdom Metazoa; phylum Chordata; class Mammalia; order Primates; family Hominidae; genus Homo; species Homo sapiens. Next base: position 686,977 of record NC_000006.12, read on the forward strand.
ATTTATTCACAAATCTATTGCCAGTAGTACCCAATGCCCTACTACTCTTATTAGATCTATATGCATAGATAAAAACAGTAAGTCTTAGTATTTTAGGAAGTATAGTTTTTCAGAAAAAAAGATGTCAGGGTTTTATTTTCCCAGAAAGACAGATCACCTGAACAAGATTGAAGAAGTCATTATCAAATAATATTCTTTTTTTTTTTTTTTTTTTTTTTGAGACAGGGTCTCACTCAGTCACCCAGGCTGCTGGAGTGCAGTGGTGCAATCATAGCTCACTGCAGCCTCAGGTGATCCAGGCTCAAGTGATCCTCCCACTTCAGCCTCCTGAGTAACTGGGACCACAGACATGTACCACCACACTCGGCTAACTTTTTTCTAATTTTTGTAGAAAAGGGGCCTCATTATGTTGCCCAGGCTGGTCTCAAACTCCTGGGCTCAAGCTATCCTTCCACCTCGGCCTCTCAAAGTGCTGGGATTACAGGCACTGAGCCACTGAACTTATCCTCAAATAATATTTATTTGTATCTTTACCTAGTCCGTCAAGATGATTTGCGATACAATGACTAGTCACCCAGATCCTCAAAAGATGACAGTATTGGACTCCTATACCCCAGAAAAACAGAAAAACTAGGGCTGTGAAAAGGAAACATCCTTGGATTTATTCAGTCAAATAAATGTTTATTATACACTTGCTATGTCCCAGGCATTACCCTGAAGAAATGACAGGAACAAGATTTTGTGACCAGAAGCTCAAGAATGACTTTGGCCTTCAGGAGAGTGATCGTAGCTGAAACCAGACAGCACTGGGATGGGTGAGAAGTTGGCTACAAACAACTATTTTAAGAAATGTGGCAGGAAAGTGAAAAAGAGAGGAATTTTAAAAGGGCAATGTGAAATCAAGGGAGGATTCTAGTTTTTTCTGTTTTACTTTATTCTTGTCTGTCTCTAAGCATGTATAAAGGCCAACAGAAGGAAGGCTTTAGTAAGACATGAACACCTGAGTGAAGTCCTCACAAAGGCGGGGTAGATGGGATCCACAGCCCAGGTAGGAGATTGGTCTTAGCATAAATACAACCTCTTCCACTGTGACTGGGGAGGAGGAACAGTTTTTGGCAGGAAGCCCCTGCGATTCTCCACTTACATCTCTTTCATTTATGATGTAGGTGGCAAGACCGCTTGCTAAGAGTGTGTGTAAATGATGTGAAAGGATGAAAGGTTCGAAAAGCGTGAAAATGCTGAAAAGTACATTCTGCAGAGATAAGAAGCGGGTACTGATGAGGAAAATTCTGGAAGATTCCTTGATGGCCCAGCTGAGCTGGTGACCATGGATTTATAGGGGCACAGATCTGGATACTGTGATTTTCCCCAGCTGGCCCCAGCAACTCAGGTCAAGCATTACAGGAGGCAGAGAGTTGAGACTGCCCAAGGCTGAGAAGCTGCCAGGCAGATGCTACAGAACAACAACGATACAACTGAGCACACTGGCATGACAGTGACTGAAGATCACAGAAGCGCCTGATAGATGCAGTGGGGGTGAGTGAGACTGAGAAAGTTGAGGGACTATAAGCAAACAGTGGGAGGCCTGCACTTTGGATTTCAGAAGTGGACCAGTTCCAACACTGAGGCAGTTCGGTGTTACTCTTCCAGCCCCCAGCACTACTTCTCTGGCAACAGTCGGATCCTCCTCCAGACAGCCCTACTTTCTCCTTCTGTCCTTTCTGGTTACTGTTAGCTTCCCTTTGCTCCTCACCACTCCTTGTATATTCCCTAATCCCCTCTGCACCTTTCTTCATTTGAGCTATCTGGCATGACTTCTGATTCCTGCTGAGACATACATCATTATCATTCACATGGGGTTTTCATTAAAATTAAACTAAAGCCAAACATGGCCTTTTGTCTCGTTTTGTCTTTTGCTAAAATTATAATACAATGAAAGTTAAATCATATGCCCTCCAAAATCACAAACCTTTAAAATGAGAAAAGGCCTTTAAAAATTCATCCATGCTTACAAATGAAACGAAGGGGCAGCCTTGTGCAAAGTGGCACTGTTAGCAAGCAGTAAAGGGAAAAAAGCCTTCAACGCTGCACTTGTCACTGAGTGCTTAAGATGTGCCGGGCACTAGTCTTGAAGCTCTCTGGATCCACCCTGAGCAGCTCACCTTCTCCTAAGCTGAAATCCAGTCTTCCCCAGTCCTGTGTCCAGTGTTCGTTCCATTATTGGCACCAAGATTTACTGTGGAAAATATTACATAGAAAAACTGATAAACCCAAAAACAAAAATAAAGCAAACTGGATGATGTATTTTTAATCTGAAATGCTACCAAGGGAATTAAGGTAAAGGATGTTCAGGAAGCTTTTGAGCTGGCCTAATAAAACTTTCCAGGAAAAACAAACAACAAAAAAGAACTGTCTAACAAATCAGTTCCAAACTCTTCTGCCTGTCAGTCAAGGCACTCCACCCATAATCCAAAATGCACTCACTTACCAGCCCCTGGGCCTTTGCTCCTGGTATGCAGCCCAGGTGTTCACACGCCTTCCTTCATCAAGCTCTTATCATCAAAGCTTCCCAATTACTCTAGCCCCAACGGATCCTTCCTACCTCTGAGCTTCTGCTGGACTTACACTCAATACTACAGAGTTTAGTTCTTAGCTATTCTTTAATTGAGAGGGCAAAAATACCCCTTATGAATCCAGGCTAATATTATTTGATTTTTAATATATGTGTCAGGCATACAGTAAGACTGGAAGATACAAAAATAATTAAAACTAATCCCGATCCAGAATGAGCTTAGTCTTTTACTGGTGTATGTAAACACCATTAATAATATTGTCCCTAACACAACACAAGTGCTATAAGACAAGTGCTAGGTGGTTATAGGATTCACTGAGTTGGAAAATTTCAAGGCAGGAAGGATTTCAGAGATAATCTAACTGCATGTATTCTCTGAATACACAAAAAAGGAAACAGTCCAAAGCATCTAAGCAACTCAGCCAGTACTATGAAGCAGACCAGATTAGACCAAGGACCAGTGTATAGTTGCTTTGACGCCTAAGCCAAAAATACCTTTTGACTCTGTGATTTTCAAATTGAGATCAGCCAGGCACAGTGGGTCACACCTATAGTCCCAGCACTGGGAAGCTGAGGCCAGCGCATCACTTGCATTCAGGAGTTCAAGACCAGCCTGGGCAACGTAGGAAGACCTCACCTCCACAAATAATTTTTAAAATGAGCCGAACCCGGTGGCACGCACCTATAGTCCCAGCTACTTGGGAGGCTGAGGTAGAAGGATTTCTGGAATCATGGCGCTCAAGGCTGCAGTGTGTTGTGACTGTGCCACTGCACTCTAGCCTGGGTGACAGAACAAGACCCCCTTTCAATCAATAAACAAACTGAGATTGAAGGATGCCGATGCGTGTGTCACCCATCGCTTTAAGATTCATAATTTCCCGGCCCGGCGCAGGGGTTCACGCCTGTAATCCCAGCACTCTGGGAGGCCGAGGTGGGTGGATCACGAGGTCCACCGTCACGAGGATCGCGACGGTGAAACCCCGTCTCTACTAAAAATACAAAAAGTTAGTCGGGCGTGGTGACGGGCGCCTGTAGTCCCAGCTACTTGGGAGGCTGAGGCGGCAGAATGGCGTGAACCCGGGAGGCAGAGCTTGCACTGAGCAGAGATCTCGCCACTGTACTTCAGCCTAGGCAACAGGGTGAGACTCTGTCTTTAAAAATACAAAAAAGATTCATAATTTCATTACAATTACTTTTAAGTTTGTGTATTCATATCAATAATAATTTTTGACTAATATAAACATACTCTAAAGCATATGATTAGAAGTCCACACTATCACCATGTGATTTCAGCAGGCAGTCCAGAAGGTCCAAGAACATATTCCCCAGGATCTGAGTACAATCAACATCCTAGTACACCGCTTAGCAGAGTGATCAATGAATGTTATTTCCCAGTTTCAAAATCCTCTCAACAGTGACCTAAAATTCATCCATTCAATAAACATTTAAGCACCTACTATGTGGCAGACGCTGGACTAGGAACCCAGGCTGGATTAAGATGCGTAAACTGGAGAATGAGTGGAAAAGTAACTGAGAGGACACCTCTGTAACCAGCACTTCCTGTATGGCCTAATCTTGCTGCTGCTTGACACTAGAAATATTAAAAGTTCTTTGCTAGAAGACTATTTTTTCAGTACCAACTTCATTTCCCATATGATTCTTACATAATGGGCTCCCAAGAACTTAGCAAGTTAATAACCATCTTTTAGAAAAGTAATACAGTTGACCCTTAAGCAACATGGGTTTGAATGAGACAGATCCACTTATACACGGATTTTTTCAACAAAAGTTGCACTGAGTGTGCCTGCATCTCCCACTCCCCTTTCACTTCCTCCATCTCTTCCATCTCTGCCATTCCTGAGAAAATCCCTCCTCTTCTTCCTCCTCCACAATCTACTCATGCAGACTATGGGGATAATAACCTTCATGATTCTCCACTTTCATTTAAAGAAGAGTAAATACATTTGTTGTGATTTTAACATTTTCCTCTCTCAGCTTACTTTAAGAATACAGTATATAATACGTATAACATACAAAATACATGTAAGTCAACTGTTTATGTATCAGTAAGGCTTCTGGTCAACAGTAGGCTATTAGTAAAGTCCTGGGAAAGTCAAAAGTTACATGGAAATTTTTGACTGCGTGGGCACCCCTAACCCCAGTGTTGTTCAAGGGTCAACTGTAGTTCAAAATGGCATTCAATACAGGAAATTAAATACTTGACAAGAAAAAAAGATCACTTTCTAAAACTTCCAAGAGTTGGTCCAAGTCACACTGGGGGAACTCTGCTTCTCTGCTTTAATTTATTAAGTTTCTACTTAGACAAACAAGTGAACATGTAAGTACTAAGCACACATCACCCTCTTTCTATTACTACTCTGGGAATCGCCAACTTTTAGCACAAAAAAATCATCTTTGAGAAGATTCTGGCTTTCAGTTGATTTGTCATTAAAGGAGTCAGTTACACAAAGCATGGGCCAGTACATACTAACATTCATAAACAAAACATTATTATGCATTAGAAGACAGATCCACATAAGCTCAGAAGTAACTTTTCAATATTGCATAGTGCACACAAAAAGATTTAATTAAAGTGTGGCTAACTTAGAAAAAATATTTTTTAAGTGTTCCTTGTAAGTTTACTCACAGATTCATAAAGGCATCAGACTTAAAATTTCTCAGACTTATTAGTATGTTGACCTTTGGCAGATTAAAAATAACTTACTTCCATTCAAAGACGAGTTCTTTCAAGAACTATTTCTCGGAATTACTAAAGTGTTTTCTTAACAATCTTGGGATACAGGGTTACGCATCACCAGGCTTCCAGGCTGCTGGTGTGCGGACCTGGAGCCGGCGCGCAAGGTCTCAATGGCAGCTACAACAGGACCTCAGGCTCTTTGCTCAAGCACTCTGAGCCGCCGCTCCCCTATCCGTAAAATGGGTCACACGGCAGCGTACATACACCCGCGCGAGGATCAAGTACGTGCACGCAAACGCTGACAACAGCGGCAGGCGCCTTTTAAGCGCTCAGGACAGCCAGAGCGGGATGCACGCCTAGGCAGACAGGTAACACCCGCCTCGCGTTCACTTTTCCGGAGAAATTCTCAAATCTCACGGAGTGGCAACTGCGCAAGGGCGAAGCGGCGCAGTCTGGGGCCAGCTCCAGCGGGCGGGGCCTGGAGTCAGCCCTCTGCAGCCCACGCCCCTCACCGGCGCAGGTGGGGACCGCGGGGGTGCGAACTGGCGGGGGTGGGCGCGGAGCCCAGCAGGCGGCTGACGGCGGGGATGGGGGCTGCGGGGCTGGGAACCGCGGGGGGTCGCGGGGCCCCGCAGGTGACCGACGGCGCCAGTGGGCGCGGCTGTCCCTTCACCGCTGAGGCCTGGACGGACGCCGCAGGCGGCCACCTCCGTGCAGCTGACGTCCATGTCCCGCTGGCCTTCGGCCAGGCCCTCCAGCCTCCCACACATACCTCCAGCCGTCCTGCCGCAGCTCACGGCCGGCACAGACAGGGCCCGGTAGGTCTCGCCGAAGACTCCGCGGCCGCCAGCCGCCGGCACCTCACTTCCGCCCGCCGCGAGCGCCGAGCGTGTAGATCCGCCTGGCAGTCGAGCGCCGAGTCCTCGATGGGCGGAGCCTTCAGGGGAGGGTAGAGGAGGGGAGGAGACCGGCGCGGGTGCTGGAGGTCAGCAGGGGCCGTGGGCGGTGGACGCTGGAATGCCTTGGGTTCCGAGGGACCCAGCTGCCTGAATGGACACGAGTAGGAGGTTTTTGCTGGGCGTCTTTGCGGTGGCGGGAAGCGGTGAGGGAGGGAAAGAAGGATACAAGCTCAAGGGGCAGGCCGGGTGCACCATCCATCCCCGTGCCCTCGGGTCATCTCAGGGAGACTGTGGGATGATAGTGCGTTTGTGGGCCACAGTTCACAACGATGGGCCCTGCATCGGGTCAGAGGACCCCTCCGGAACAGGGGGATGCACAAGGTCAAGAGAATGCATGGAATCAGAGGGCTGCACCAGGTCAGGGGGGCTGCACCGAGACCAGAGGAAGCATCAGGTCAGGAGGATGCACTGGAGTGTGCATCCCCAGGGGGCCACACTGGGTAAGGAGGATGCACCAGGTTAGGAGGCAGCACTGGGTCAGAAGGATGCACTGGAATCAGGGGACTGTACCAGGTTGGGGGGCGTGCCTCAGGTCAGGAGGAGGCACTGGGGTCCGGGGGCAACATTGAGTCAGGGGCAGCCCTAGGTCAGGAGGATGCATGGGGTCAGGGGGCTGCAGGGGTTTGAGGGCTGCACTGGGTCAGGGCGCCATACCAGGTCAGGGGATGCGCAGGATCGGGGGAGATGCCCGGGGTCGTGGGATGCTGGGGGTTGGGGGGATGCTCGGGGTCGGGGAGTTCTCGAGGTCGGGGGATACTCGGGGTCAGGGGGTTCTCAGGGTTGGGGGGATACTTAGGGTCAGGGGATGCTCTAGGTTGGGGGAAGCTCGGGTTCAGGGGCTATGGCCAGGGAGGAAGGACAATCAGGAAAGTGGGGGTAGCGGATTCTGGAAGCTAAATAGTTTCAGGAAGGAGGAATTGATAGCCAATGTTCAGAAGTACTGTGAGGCCAAGACTCCAGAGACAATTGAGTTTGGCATATGCCAGTCATTGGCATCCTTGACAAAAGCAGTTTCAAAGGAGTGTGGGGAAGCTACATCTCGTCAGAGTGGACTGTGAAAAGAATATTAAGTGAAGTGGAAAAAAGTAAGTTTCAACAACCTAGGTTGGCAGATTTAGCAATAAAAATACAAATACCCAGTAAAGTTTAATTTCAGATAAACAACAAGTAATTTGTAGTATAGATATATTTATCACTAAACTAATGTTGCATGGGATATACTTCTACTAAAACATTGTTTTGAGAGGTGACAGCGTGCTGGCAGCCCTCACAGCCCTCGCTCGCTCTGGGCACCTCCTCGGCCTTGGCACCCACTCTGGCTGTGCTTGAGGAGCCCTTCAGCCCACCGCTGCACTGTGGGAGCCCCTTTCTAGGCTGGCCAAGGCCGGAGCCGGCTCCCTCAGCTTGTGGGGAGGTGTGGAGGGAGAGGCGCTGGTGGGAACCCGGGCTGCGTGCGGCACTTGCGGGCCAGCGCGAGTTCTGGGTGGGCGTGGGCTCAGCGGGCCGGCACTCGGAGCGGCCAGCCAACCCGCCGGCCCTGGGCAGTGAGGGGCTTAGCACCTGGGCCAGCAGCTGCTGTGCTCAATTTCTCCCCGGGCCTTAGCTGCCTTCCCGCGGGGCAGGGCTGGGGACCTGCAGCCTGCAGTGCCTGAGCCAACCCCCCCCGCCATGGGCTTCCGTGCGCCCGAGCCTCCCCGACGAGCGCTGCCCCCTGCTTCACGGCCCCCAGTCCCATCGACCACCCAAGGGCTGAGGAGTGTGGGCGCATGGCTCGGGACTGGCAGGCGGCTCCACCTGCGGCCCCGGTCGGGATCCACTGGGTGAAGCCAGCTGGGTTCCTGAGTCTGGTGGGGACTTGGAGAACCTTTATGTCTAGCCCAGGGATTATAAATACACCAATCGGCACACTGTATCTAGCTCAAGGTTTGTAAACACACCAGTCCGCACCCTGTGTCTAGCTCAGGGTTTGTGAATGCACCAATCGACACTCTGTATCTAGCTACTCTGGTGGGGACTTGGAGAACCTTTGTGTCCAAAATCTGTGTCTAGCTAATCTCGTGGGGAGGTGGAGAACTTTTGTGTCCAGCTCAGGGATTGTAAACGCACCAATCAGCACCCTGTCAAAATGGACCGATCAGCTCTCTGTAAAATGGACCAATCGGCTCTCTGTAAAATGGACCAATCATCAGCAGGATGTGGGTGGGGGCCAGATAAGAGAATAAACGCAGCCTGCCCGAGCTGGCAGTGGTAGTTTGCTCCGGTTTCTTTCCACACTGTGGAAGTTTTATTTTTTTGCTCTTTGGGGTAAATCTGGCTGCTGTTTATACTTTGGGTCCACACTGCCTCTATGAGCTGTAACTCTCGCCGCGAAGGTCTCTAGCTTCACTCCTGAACCAGCGAGATCACGACCCTACCAGAAGGAAGAAACTCCGAACACATCTGAACATCAGAAGGAGCAAACTCCAGATACGCCGCCTTTAGGAACTGTAACACATACCGCAAGGGTCCGCGGCTTCATTCTTGAAGTCAGTGAGACCAAGAACTTACCAATTCCAGACACAGTTTTAGTATTTGTTAGTAAAAGTACGGCCCCAATATTGCACGGGACATACGTATACTAAATTGTTACTATCTGAAATTCACATTTAACTGGATGTTCTGTATTTTCATCTGGCTACTTTGACAACCCCTCTGAGGAGTTGTGTGACAAAGGGAGCAGAGATGGGCGGTAGTTGCTAGAGAGGCATGGTATCAAGGAAAAAGTCTGTTTTAAGATGGGAGCTATTAACAAAACATGTAAAGAGGGAACCGCTGATGCAGGAGAGAGGGAGCAACTGCAGAGCAAGTCTTTGAGAAAGGTAAGAGAGGGTAGGACCTGTTGCACGAGGGCAGAGGTTGTTCTTAGGAGCCACCAGAGTTGAGCTGTGTAGTAGGAGAGTGAGCGGAATGTGAAGCTATAGCTGTGGGTTGGTAGACATGGTGAGGAGAAAGTGAGAAAATACTCTTCTGGTTGCTTCTGTGTTAACAAAGGAACCAACAAGATCATCTGTGAGCAGGGGGTGGGGACGAGGGAGGACTGAGAAGGGGTGAGATTGTTAACTTAGACATTGTAAGGCGAATTGTTAAGGATATGTAGCCAGATTGCCAGGCAGGGCAGAATGCCCACTTGGGATGTGTGGTCTTAAGTCTCAAATGGAACCAGTCGGCCTGCTTGTGTTGTTTTGGCTGCTCTAGTGCAGGCAGGGAGTTAGAAAATTAGTTGTAGCTGAGATTGGAGTTTGACACAGAAGATGGAGCAGGGAACAGAGGAGTTCGGGTTCTATGCAGAGAAATAACATCAGACAGGATCATGGGGTTTAAGCTGGTGTGACAGGATATTTAGATGGGTTTTTCTGGTTATCCTGGAATTGGCCACTTGAACTGGCAAAGAAGGCAGATAACTAAGGTGACCACATGTTCCACTTTGCGTGGGATGACTGATTTGTGTCTGTTATGAAGGCTTAATTATTGAGTGCCCTTTTTACTGTCAAAAGTGTTCCTTTTAGACGCTATATGGTCACCCTAAAGTCTCCCCGCACTATAGAGAAAGCCCCCTGGCCGGGCGCGGTGGCTCATGCTTGTAATCCCAGCACTTTGGGAGGCCAAGGCGGGTGGATCATGAGGCCAGGAGGTTGAGACCATCCTGGCTAACATGGTGAAACGCCGTCTCTACTAAAAATACAAAAAATTAGCCGGGCGTGGTTGCACGTGCCTGTAGTCCCAGCTACTTGGGAGGCTGAGACAGGAGAATCACTTGAACCCTGGAGGCGGAGGTTGCAGTGAGCCGAGATTGTGCCACTGCACTCCAGCCTAGGCTACGGAGTGAGACGCTGTCAAAAAAAAAGAAAAGGAAGAAAAGAAAGCCCCCAGCAATTGGGTAAGACACCTCTTGAAGCTTATGAGGAATTCACTCAGCTGTTTTAATCTGGGTTAGACGCCTCTTGGAGCTTATGAGGAATTCACTCAGCTGTTTTAATCTGGGTTAGATGCCTTTTGGAGCTTATGAGGAATTCACTCAGCTGTTTTAATCTGGGTTAGTACCTGTTGGCTCGAGGCACCCACGAGCCTGTGCTTGCTGCTGTCAGAGTGGAGCTGAGCATCAGTGTGGAGTTCTTGGCGGAGTTGGGCTGCCCTCAGGACTATATGTGACCAAGAGTATGTGCCTGCTTTTGGTGCAGAAATTCCCAAAGGTAGGAGACCTGCTGGAGAAACATAAGAGCTGGATGGAGAGGAGGGTGGCCAGGAAGCAGCTGCATAACCATGCTGTGGATATCACAGCCTCTCAGCTCAAGAACTCACACATGCTCCTCACACAAACAGTATTTGGCCCATCTATGTGTCTTACACAAATGCCTGCCCGGCAGACAGCATCCGCAGCAGAGCACAGAGCAAATGGGATGATTCAGCTAGGGCAGGTCAGGCAGTCTCTGCACAATGGGCCTGTGAATGGAATGGCCATTCACAGGGTTGGAGGCTACAGGGACCCACAGAAAAAGGCAGATCTAGACAGTGCCTCTGCCCTCTCCAGCCGTAGAGGCCAATGGGCAGCCCATGGTATGGTGGCTGCCGTCTCTCGGTGGCAAGTTGATTTCCATAGGCCCAGATGCATATTCTGGGTTTGGGTTTGGGTTTGTCTTCCTTGCTTGTAGAGCCTTCCAGGCATGACTACCCAATTGCTTACAGAATGTCTTGCCTTATCACAGGATTTCCCATAATACCACCTTGGACCAAGCACCCTTGTAAGAGCGAAAGAGGCAGACAGAGGGGACGTGACCGCAAGCTCCACTGGTTCCACCATAGATCGCACACCCCAGACTGCCACCCTGATAGGACATCAGCATGGCCCCACAAAGGCACAGCGAACGCTCCAGCAGAGTTGGAAGCTGTGCTGTGGGATGCAGTATATATTCAGAGCCTAATATCAGTGTATGGTGCAGCATCCCCAGTAGCCAGGGTCCTGGCCCCTGGGATGTGCCGAAGATGCTCTCCTGGGTGACACAGGGTTCACTAAATCTAAAAGCCTCTCCTTACTTGGGATCCTCATGGATCCCAGGCAACAAAATTTGGTCCTGGTTATGAGTAGGAAACGGGAGGGAGGATTATTTCTGGAATGCAGGGGACTCACTGGGCATCTTTTCCTTGGCTGGTGATACCAGTAAACTGGCAATGCAGCAACCCTGGCCTGACAAGGAATGATAACCAAGGGCTCAGACCTCACAGGGAAGAAGGTCTGGGTCACCTCGTTGAGGAAGCAGCCTGGGCCACAGAAGTGCTAGCTGCAGGTGAAGAGAACGGAGCCGGGTGATTAAGGAAGAAGATGATGAAAATCACTGTAGCCTTAGAACTAACTGCAGCAGTGGGCATTATAGCCCAACCTATTGACCCTCCTGAGGTGGGTTTTTTCCCCCAGTAAAGTATGACTGGACACCATCATGAGGAATCAGGGCCAGGACAGAGATCTGTAGCCGTGGATCCGCCATACCAGGCAGGATGGTAACAGAGGCCATCAGTGCCCATCCAGATTCCCCCAACTGAAGGCTGCTTTCTGGGAACACCTGCATCTCTCTTTGTGCTTGAGGGATTTCTTTTTGGAGCAGAGCAAGCTGGAAGCCCTAGAGAGTTAATTCAGAAGAAGGCCTCGGCCAATGGCAGGCAAAGAGTTGGTGTGTAAATGCCCTGGCGGGGGTAGCTTGGCTGGTTGCACGTGCCCCATTGCATGGCAGAGTCCCAGGGAGCTGCTCCAGTCTCCCTCGGGGAAGTGCCCCATAGCACACCTTTACTGGCCTCCCCACTCCCCTCCTGCTCTTTCCTGCTGTCACCTCCCAAGTGAAATGCTAGCCCTGGATCAGCTTCTGGGGGAATCCAGTCAAGGTTGTTATTATCACAGACTAAAACAACCTATACTTATTACAATTCAAAGATATATATATTTGTTATTAGAGACAGGGTCTCACTCTGTCACCCAGGCTGGGTTGCAATTGTGAGATCCTAGCTCACTGTAGCCTTGAACTACTGGGCTTAAGGGATGCTCCTCCTCAGCCTCCAGAGTAACTAGGACTACAGATGCGTGCCACCATGCCTGCGTAATTTTTGTTGCTGTTTTTTGTAGAAATGGGATCTCGCTGTGCTGCCCAGGCTAGTCCCGAACTCCTGTGCTCCAGCAGTCCTCCCATGGCATGAGCCACCACACCCAGCCTCAAATATCTATGTGCTGAATTGCACACTTTTTAGGGAAGTACATCCTGGAACAAAAAAGTGATGTGGAATCTAGCATGACTTCATTTTCCTCTCCTTTTTATCAGAGGATGTGTTGAAGTGCAGCCAGTATGCAATCACTTGACTGTCCCCAGCGTCATCAATTATAAAGAGCAAGGGGGAAGCTAGGAAATGTGAATCTGAGGCTTGGCAGCAGCATTTGAAAAAAATAAAGTGAGAAATCCCTGGCAGCGGCACGCCCCCTTCACAGTGAAACCAAACCCTCTGGGTCTCGGTGACTTGCCGTTTCCCAGGTTAGGTGATCCTGCCATTAAGCCAGGATGTATGGGCCTTGAGAACACACAGATTAAAAAAATAAATAACACTGTATTCCTGAAACAAAAACACTCAGAATAGGAAAGAGACTCTTTTGTTAACATAAAGAGTACTGGTGGTGTTTTCTTTCTTTTTTCTTACATTTCTGGTCCTAATTCCAAAGCCAGCTAGCAAACATTAGTGCAGTATATGCAGAAGTTGGCAGCAAATAAAATCATTAAACCTAAAATTGCAGTGGTAGCTGTTAGAGCGATTGAATATCGTTGCATAGCTTTGTGTTTTCAATTCTGTCTCAGGTTTTGTTTGACCTGGAGAGAAAGAATAACTCTGAAGCATGAAATCCCTTTGCAAACAGTCTTTAGAAGTACTAGGAGAGACACAATTCCCTGTTCTTAGATTTTTTTAATGTTAAATCAACACCTTTTGTGTTCTGTAGTGTGTGGCACATCAGTGTGTGGTAAGCCATAATTAGTACAGAACCTAACCCTCAAAACTACTGTAATTTGCTGTATCTTAGACATCCTTTTTACTGAAGACTAATGATTATTTGGTCTTCTGTTATTCACAGGCTCTCAACTCCATGCTTGCAGATTCCTGCCTTATTCACTGTTGTAGATACCACAGAGCTTCCTAGCACAGTTATTCAATACATCAGGCTGCCCATTCAGTAACAGCACTCACCACAACCTGTAAATACAGTATTATCTATTTGTTTTCTAAAAATGTTTCTCTCCCCTCACTAGAATGTAAACTTAAGAGGAGGGATGCTGTAATGCTCATCCATGCCTCACACATAATAGATGCTCAACAAATACGCGTTGCCTCAAAAACAAAAATAAGAATACAGTACATTGTGATAGTAACAGAGTTGGAGGAGATGCCTGTGTCCAGTTGTCTAGTTCAAAATATGCTGAGTGGCCACTTAAAGACACAAAATTATCAGCAAAATTTGATATGTACACATCTTGACAATAAATGGACGATTGAGATGTTTCACCAAATACCACCCAGCATTGCCATGCTTTGCTGGAGCCTTCTGTGTTTTAGGATTACAGGACAATTTGAAATTCTGCAGGACTGCAAGTTTCAACTCTGTTTTAGCAATTCCTGGATTGGACCTATTAGTTAAGGAAGCCCCTTACATCCTTTTGTTTTAACCTTAATCGTACTATGGTGTGCTCCTAGCAAATGCCTTTAAGTGGACTTAACCATCTTCTTTTATGTTGGCTTCAGAGCTTTTTATATTCAGAGCTCTGTATATCAAAAGTCCTTAAAATAGTCAAACGTCTCCAATCAATTTTACAGCAAAACAGAGCTCTGTGGTTTTCTATTTACTTGCTATTTGCATATTTTAATAAGAAAATTGTAAATAAAGCTGGTTCTACAGCAGGGATATGGTATTACAATAGTGTTACTCCAACCATATGGCCGTGCTGCCATCCAGCACAATAATGCAGATGTGTTTTGCACCTGTGTTTATATCTGGGCGTCTCTGGCAGTGGGCTGTGTCTGTAGGTGGTCCAGAAGGAAAGGAGAAATTGAGGAGAGGCACACACTGCCAGAGATATGAGAGCCCAGTACCTGGAGAGAGGGAACAACTCAGTCAGAATGTGAAAATGTCTGTGCTTAGTGAGGACCTGGGTTCTCTCCCGGCCCTGCCAGCCCTGCCCTGTGCTGCAGAGGGCAGGAATAACCTAATTATGTGATTTTCTGTGAAAAAGGATTTAGATCTCTTTATGTTCTAAAAGAAGGATTTCTAACGGACCGCATGATAGCATTTTAACTTAAATTGCTAGCTGGGAGTGGGTGGTTGATTTTTTGTTTTGGGGTGGTTTGTTTGTTTTGTCTTGTCTTTTGGAATTCTCCATTTGAAGGTCCTCTTTATTCAGTGGGAACAAGGCCAATTTGCATTTTGTCAGTGATGTCAGCAGTAATAGGAAAGACATGGGAAATGGCACCATCTTCCCAGTTTTACCCACTGATGTGATGGTGTGCAGTGTGGACTGAGTCTTAGGGCAGCAGCCGCTGGCTTGCCACTCTGCACCTCCACTGTCCAGGCATATCACCCCACCCGGAGCAGAAGCACTAGCTGCAGCTGCACGTCGGAGGGAGACACGGTGCTGGCCTCTGGCCTTTGCTGCAGGATCTGAGCCTTGCTGACACTCATTTATGAAGGCTTCCCACTGCCCAGGAGCATCAGGATCGCCTTGCATATGAAACGCGGTATAAAGCCTGTCTTTATACCTCATTTCTTTTGATCTAACATGACATGAATTTTATCTGAGTTTTTCATTGCTCCCTTGGTTTTGCACAAACCCAGTAAAATATTTTTCACTCCTTAACAGCAGATTTCTCACCCTTTGTGTTTGGTAGGTTTCCCCTAAGATGCCAACTGAGCTGCGTTCCCCTCTCAGGCACACACTATAATTTCTGAAGGTGATGGCATGCACCGGAGTGCCCACCAGTTGTGTCCTGGCCACACTCCAGTGGAGGTCCCTGGATGTCCTGCCCCCTGCAGGTAGTTGCCTCCTGTGAGCTCATCTTTGAACTCTCTGTGGTACTAAAGGACGAGGAGTACATGCAGGATTGAAGATAATTTTCAGGACACACTTTAGCCAACAGTCTGAACCTTTGTTCTTCCTGACTGAGCCCTTGTAACAAAGATGAGAACATAGAACATAGCCAGTTAATTTGAGTTTGAATTTATTTTTTCACACCTGGTGAAGAAAATAATAAAAATGTTTAGCAGTGAGAAACTAAAAATGAAGAAATGAAAATATCCACAGCCCCTGAAAAATCAAGAGTTGACTATAGGACTGTTGGTTTGAAAAAAAAATTACATTGAAAATTCCAAACCTTACATTCTGGATCCTGCCTGATACTGACCCTGATTGTTTGACCTCTTGAGAGTTCCAGTTGTCTCATTTGAAAAGTAAGATAGTTGGATAGGAGAATCTCAAAAATCCCTTTAAGCTCAAAAATCCCATGACTGCACTTTTCTTTTTCTTTCTTTTTTTTTCTTTTTTTCTTTCTTTTTTTTTTTTTGTGGGAGAGTCTGGCTCTGTCGCCCAGGCCAGAGTGCAGTGGTGCAATCTCGGCTCACTGCAACCTCTGCCTCCCGGATTCAAGCTATTCTCCTGCCTCAGCCTCCCAAGTAGCTGGGACTACAGGTGTCCACCACCAAGCCTGGCTAATTTTTTGTATTTTTAGTAGAGATGGGGTTTCACCATGTTAGCCAGGATGGTCTTGATTTCCTGACCTCGTGATCTGCCTGCCTCAGCCTCCCAAAGTGCTGGGATTACAGGCGTGAGCCACCGCGCCCGGCTGCACTTTTTAATAAACAACGATTCTGCAGCAAGTCTCGGCTGAACTGTGGGGCCTTCTCTTCTGGCGCCTTTCTCTGGCCATCTGCGTAGAACAGGACATATGGGTGGTGGTAGTGGAGTTTTTCCAAATAACTGTATACCAGCAGCGGTCGTAGATCACACTGATTGTTCTGCTATTCAGTTAAAGGGTTTTTTTCTTCCAGGTGCTTCATTCTTTAAATGTGTTAGCTATAGCGCAATCCATTTTAAACTGGGAACTTGGTTACTTTCTCTGATCTTAAAGCAGATTGCTGGTACTTTTCTGTTTCTATAACTTTTTGCTCCTCTGTCCTTTCTACTTCTACACCTCCCCAAAAGCCTCTGCTCCGTGAACTAATGATGTTGCTTTTTTGTCCCTGGCTAGGTTATGGACATAGAAAGCCAAACCACAATAGGTTAGATGTGAAGTATAGTGATAAAGAGGAAAACAATATAATATTAAATATGTGGGTTGCATTTTCAATTTTGCATTTTTATTGAATTCCTGTTTTTCCATAAAGTAATTCTCCCTGAGCTCGGCCACATTTTTTTCTGAGGCCGGATATGTGAGTCTGTGTTGATTTGCAGCATTGTTGTGGTTTATATATATGTTTGACAGGATGCATATTCATTCCACTAACATTCATTAGAACTCAAATGAATGCACAGACATGAATGATAGATTTAAGCACACGTATCTGCTTTCCTTCTGAGAAACAATAGCTTTTCAGGACTCTGTAGACTAGTGAGGATTTTCAACAGAGTTTTATCTGAGAACAAATGGAGAATCTCTCTTCAATTAAATAATTAGAATTAAATCCTAGAAAGGCCACCTCAGTGGATGGTAAACCTTTTTGCAGACTTCATTTTGTGAAAGAAAATGCTCGTAATTGCTGCTTGTTCCTGCACATTGTTTTGTTTTGGATTTGTTCAAATATAATTGTTTCTGCTGTTAAGTCACCTCCTGTTTGCAAGCATGTATTTGTTAAACACATTGAGAAGGAAGTTTTCATTTTTTAGGAAAATCAGTTTTGAACTAGAATTCATAGACCATGCTTTCCTTGGTGACAATGCTGGATTGCTTCAAAGCACTGGTCCTCTTGCGCTGCCACGTGGAACGATGACTAGGCACTGTGTGATGAGGCACGATGCTGATTAGTATCCAGAAAAAAAGTCCTAAACGCCATGTAGCTTTCTAAGCTCTTGCTTTACATAAATATGCTGGTAACTACTGACTCTCAGTTTTGGCAGTGATTTTGCTAGTAAACATATTTTCGGGCCAGAAACCCTACAATGTAAAGTAGGATATTGCCCCCATTCCCCAGCCAAAAAAAAAAAAAAAAGGGAATGAAATGCATGGCTGTATCAGCCCTTGCCCCTCAAATGGTTTTTGGCATGCTTTAAGAGAAATAAAATATAAATTAATTCTCAAAGAATTTAGGATGCTCTTCCAGAAAGAGACGAGTCAGCTTCCCACATCAAACAGGGGAGTCTTTCACATATTTAGTCCATCTTCTATATTTACAGAATTTTCACATTACTTTCTTTTCTTGGTTTACAACAATTCAATAATTCTTTTCTTTAAAGCTGTCTAAGAAATCTGTGTTTCACAGATCCTAGAGGCAGTGCAATTCTCGACAGCACTTACAACAAAGGTTTATTTTCACACAAATTGTCTAGCTACTAATTCAGAGAGGTCTTCTGTGTATGCACATTGGAGTAATTTAAGCTCAACTGTTTTCAAGTCAACAAATATTGACATTTGCCTGTTACACCCCAGGCAATGTTCCTTTTTCTACACGTTCTTTCTTGCTTTCTATAAGTTAGGCTAATCCACTATTAAAGTACAGACACGATAATTCAAATTATTATTGAAATATTAATTTTCCAAAAACAAAACAAGGAAAACATATTTTGAATGGTGGGAGGTGTGGACAATAAATGGAAAATCCAGGTTTGTCTCCTTTTTATTTTTTGTGCCAGGTCTTCTTTGCTCAGTGTTTACGATTGGGATTGATACAAGTCAGTTACCTAAGAAATTCTGTTGGAGAAACTAGCCACTAAAACTCTGACGAATCTGTCTTTCCTGCTTATTTTTCAAGCACACTCTAACATATTTAAATCAGCAAATTTCTAGCAGAACTGAATAAAGTCTGTCCTATTGGTCAGGCTTATGTGTAAACACAGTTATGTAAGCAGTACTTGAGGGCAGAAATTGTCCCAGGCACAAGCTATTGTCGCAACTAATCTTTTTACAACTCAAGGATGAATAAACTCACGACTTTAAAATGTTGTGCCCCATAGTCTATTAATCTTTCCATCTTTTAATGCAAACTTATTCATACTGGAAAAATTATTCACATATACATTCACATACACATTATTGAGACTTCTATTGGAAATATGTAGAAATACTACGTAGGCATTTGTAAACTTCAAATGATAAGTATACAATTAAGTACACATCATGATGACTATTTTTGTAAAATGATTATAGCTAATTATTCAAAAGTGTTTGAAATCTGTATGTACATCCTGATTAGGAATCTAATAACTACATATTAAAATTTTAAATTATTAGGAATGTTATGTTTCACAACATTTAATGAACCTAAATAATTTAGAATACTGACCTTATAAAACATGTTTTATAGAATACAGTTAGTTTTTAATGGAATCAAGGCTTTCTAGTTTATTCAATGAAATTTCATGTTTTCTTAGCTTACAAACTAATAGCAACATCAATTTAACTTTTATGAACCTAAGCTCCCTTACATTTTAAAGTAGAAATTAGAATATTTCCCATTGTAGAAGCATTTTGTGATGTAAAAACAGTATTTAGTGAAGTACTTCCACGAAGTCTCAGCAATCTGCTTATTTAAATATGAAATAACTAAATATAAAAACATAGTAATTTTGATCAGTGAGCTTATGCTGGCATCCTTTTTGCATATTATTAATAAATTGCTAATATTTATAATTTAAAATAGTTTCCAGTTGCTGAGGAGCACTTAGAGATGAAAGCCTTCTTTCGTGTATAAAAATTATGGGAGTCCCAGATGTGAAAATTGCCATCTATTTTTTTGGTTACGGACACACCCCAAGTTCTCCTCAGGCCATGGTAAACATAATGCACAGAGATCCTGATGGCCAGTCCAGGAATGCCCCACGTCCGGAAGCACTGAGTACATCATGGCCACCAGAACATTCCACAAGGTTGAAGCGAGCACTTCGGTCTGCAGATGAGGGTGGTGACAGACATCAATTAGGAAATTGATGTCAATTTAAAAATTCCTTTTGCATGAATAATTCATCTTCAGTTTATAAGGATTATTATTCCTGTGCCTTTTTATTTCCTGAAAGTCACACTTCAATATTAAGAAGAAAGAATTTTACAAATCCAAAAATGACTGACAGCAGGCAAGTGAGAACTATTAGTTAACCGATCAAAAAAAAAAAATGAGTGGAAGTGGACAGAGACGAAAACTGGCAAAAAACTGATTATAAGTTTCTCTATGCCTTCCTCCCTTCTTCTAGCCCACCTTTATATTATTTTTTAACAGAACAAATTTTCCTGGGAAAACTAGAAGTCTTTTTATTCTGAAACAGTAACAAGTAACTTCCATGACTTTGTCGTTTTAGCTTTCACTCTTGGTGAAGCTCAAGGCAGTGGCAGATGAAGGCAGGCCTCCTGCAGCTGCCAGTCACTTTTCCCTGCTCAAAGGGCCTCCCACTTCATCATGGGCAAGCCTCACCTGGCAGGTAGCCTAAGGGAGGGCTGTGGGTCACTGCCCACCACTGTCCTCTAGCACATCCACACATGTACACATGCATACCCCACCCCCTGCATACACACACCTGCATTCACATGCATGGATACACACATGCACGTATGCAAGCACACGTGCACATGCACACACCACCCCCCACGTACACACACCTGCACTCACAGGTACACACAGATGCAGACATGCACACCCACCCACATACATGCATACATCCACACAGCCCTGCATACACGTACACATCCATGCATACACCTACACATCCATGCATACACGTCCACATGCAAACACTCCTACATCCTCACGTCCACACTCACATGCACATACGCACAGATGCATGCACATACCCACACACATGCACACATCCACGTCCACATCCACACCCACACACACTGTTAAGAAAAGATTGAAAACTTAAACTGAATTTGGAGGTAGCAGCTACTAATAAGAGTTGCAGTGAGCTAACTGGGGACAGGTCCCACTGGAAATCACAATGGTGGGTGTCAGGAACTGGGGGGAAGAGGCTGCAGGGCTCCGGGCCTTTAGGATGTTTAGATTCCATTGTATCTTAGCCTCGTTTTAACCTACCTTGTATCATTCTGTCTCATCAATCATAATTTAAATATTTGTTTTCTCTACATCTCTTTGATCTTTTCTGTAAATTGTGGTCTTTGACAGAATTTTATGTGAAAAGAATGCTGACAGTGGCATTCGAATTTTTTAAAAAATTCTCTCTGATTAACACATTTCTCTTTTGTGGCTGAACCACTCATCATAGGAGGATTGTTCACTGGTCCTTTGCTTTCAACAGCTCTTAAGATCATTTGTGGATTGTGTAACTGGAGAATTGTGTTTGGGAGGGTTTCGGCTTCCTGGCCACAAGGCATCTTCTCTCCCATCTTGCAGTAAGTTGACCGTCTTTGCGCTGGACGATCTGCAGGCCTGGTGGTCTGAGAGGTACCTTGCTCTCTTAGTTATAGTGCCTCTTTCTGCGTGTGTCACGAGAAAGTGTTCAGAAGAACCAATGTATTTTCCCAAGAAAAAGAAATCAGGAACCTGGTGTATTTTGCCTGATGCTTTAGGTAAACTAATCCAAATCAGGTGAGTTGTCTGTTGTTTACAGTTGAATGTCAAACAGAGAAAGCTGATACATAGATCCAATAACTCTGTTATCCCACATTGTACATAGACTCCAACTTTCTGTCTAAGTCGTTAAGTTTCGAGGGAAAGCAAAGATGAGAAGGTAGTTCATACTTAGGCTTTCCTGTTTTGTTTTGGGTTTTTTTGCGTACCATTCAGCAACCTTGTCCCTCCTTGGTGTGCTCTGCAGGTGGTGGCCCACCCTCTGTCATATAAATCCTCCCGCCTCGACTTTGCATTTTGTGAGGCATAGTTGTGAAATTTTAGAAATTAATTGCTTTTGGGCAATGCCTAGATTCAGCTGTGAATGAGTCTGTGCACAGATTGTAAAACATACTCTGGCCTCGTTCGTCTCTGTTGAAAGGAAATGGCAGCCTCTTGCCATACCAGGAAAGGGTAAGTCACAAAAAGTGATTTTGCTCTTGTTTATTCTGTGACGTACATTTCTTTGAAAAACATTTTAGTTTTTCAACCCCAGAAGGGAAACCATCAGCCATGCTAAAATTTATTGTTAAGCCTAGCAAAGTGGAAATGATCGTGGAAAATATTAGAGAGGTATAATTTTTATTTTTTGAGACTTTGTACAAATAGTAAAACATGCCTTTCCCCATATCAGTTCAGACTTACCCACAAAAGCCCAGGCAGCCAAATGGACTATAACAACCCAGGTGTCATTTATTTTCTTAAGATATCATTTAATGTAACAAGACAGAAAGAGCCAGAGGTTCACTACCAGGAAGAAAATGATATGGCCATGAATAGTGTGATTTGCATTTAACTTTTAATTTTAGAACGGCTAAATGAAAAGAAAAAATGCTAAATATATTTTAATCTACCAAGTGAATGAATGCTTTCTAGCTTGTTTTCTAAACTGCTCAGAAGAGTGGAATTGCTGTAAGAACCCTCCTCTGTACTGGATTAAATATTCTGCAGGGCCATCCAAGGTTAAGTCTCTTCTTTATTTAAACTGCAGCACATTTCCTTTTCTTCATACTCGGTTCTATTACTGTGTGTATATTTTTAATAAACAAACTTATTTTCCTTTATCTTTTTCTTATTTAGTTTAATATACTTTTTAAACAAGTGAGCCTCAGAGAATTATTATGAATCTCAATTGCATATGTAAAAATACTTTCATAGTCTATGAAGATCTATAAAAACATAAAGTATTGCCATTATTATATGTGCAGCATTTCTTATGATTCTGCATTTCAAATGCAGAATCAGTATCATGTGAAAAACCCTAATTATCTTATTTAGCTCACATGGGCATATTCAAAATAAGTGGCTCAGCTTAGCAATATTTGCATAGTCCAAACAGATTTTTTTCCCCTCTTTGACACCTTTAATTTTAGGGCAAAATATGTATGAAAAAATTCTATTTATGAATTACAGTAAGGCATTAATAAGTTATTTCAGCCAAGAAGTCAGATACCTTTACATGTTTTGTTAAATGTAAAGATAAAATTTGATTGACAGTTTAGTGCTATCACCAATTTATAAAAAGTAATGAAAAATAGCAAATTTATACCATTAATTTTTTGATTAATATGTACAGATGAAGTTTCTTTTCTTTCTTAAATCAGTTGCCCACATGAGAGATCAAATGTTTTTCTAGCTTTTACTTTCAGCTCACAGACATGGCCACCTTTTGCTCCACAGAAAGTTCTTATCATTTTCCGTTTCAAGGTAAATTGATGTGCAATTACCATGCTCATCAGTTACACCAATAGCAGAAATGCATATAAACCAAGAGAAAGTAGCTCTCAAGATTAAGAAAATGACCTAAGTTCAGTCTCATTTTAAAGACAGAAAAATGGAAATGTATTTGCCTTTCAATGGACACACTTTCAGGGTATTGAATAAAAGTAACCGTCTTTGATAACTAAGTCTACCAAACGTGTACATATTTTCAACCATTCTAAATCTTTTTAAAAATATGTATCATGCAAAATGCATCAGATTTTAACAATTTATTCTCTCTACATTAGTTTAGAAATTAAAGATGCATACATCCAACATGAAATCAAAAGTCAGTTTTAAGGTGTAAATTATCTAAGCCAGGTATATAAATTTAATTTTTGCCAAAATTGTGTTTTTACATGAATCCATTGAAATAGAGCCTTCTGTGAATGGTAGGCAATACAAAATTTATAGCGGTGGTAGATTATTAGAGCGACGTGGTATAGCATCTTGAGAAAATAAAATATTTCACCGTCAACCTTCATATTCCTAACAATGCTAGTGTAACACGCACATTTTGAAATTTGTGTGAAGCCCCAGTGCTACAGTGATGAAGCAAGCTCTTTTTTAATTTTAGTTTTTTTATATTAATCTGACCAAAATTTAGATTCAGTCCATTTTATGATGATTTTAGACACTCGGCATCAATTGTTCCATGGTACCAAATAACTTTTTATATTACCTCTGATTTGTCTTTTGCTTTTCACAGCAACTGAGCACATCACTGTGTTTTCCCCTTTTCCCTGAAGAAGTAAACTTGTCTTTTTAGTCTCATGACAAAAGCAGGCAACTCTGGTGGCTTATATTTAGTTACAATTTATAAAGGCAGGACTGCGAGTCAAACCCGGGACGTTTTTTTCTGTTGTGTGTTTGCGTGCTGACGGGGACTGGCTTTTCTTCTTCTTCTTGTAGTTTGAAATGGAAACGCTGCACTGCTGAGAAAATACCACGGAAATAGAACCCACTGCATTCCAGGAAAATAAATAAGCAAGGCCACCCAAATTTTCAATGAGTGCTCCTGCAGAATGCAGGAAATGGCAGGAGATCCGTCCGAGGCACCCCAGGCCGGGTCGTGGGTAGAGAGCAGGGACGAGGGCTGGGAGGGGACGCAGGCACAGGGTGAGGGTGGCCCGTCTCCAGGGAGAACTGCGCGCTCACAGGCGGGGCCGGCTTCCCGCATCAGCCCGGCCGGGCTGCAGGTTCTGAGCGAGGGGGCGGCCGTGCCTCACTCTGGGCGGGACGCGGCCTGGTGCAGGGACGCTCACTTCCAGTGGCATTTCCCGTCTTACACGATGAGCTTCATCCACGTTCTCCATAACCCCCTCCCCGCCACGGGAAGCGTCAGCCACCTGGAACAGCCCTATTCTGCTCGGTTGTAAAAAGCGTCAGGCGCTTTTGATTTGAAAAGCGTTAGGCCTGGGAATCGCTGTTGCTCCCTCGGTGGGCACGCCCTGCTGACACGCCCTAGCCCACCGGGGAAGCCACTGGCCACGAGGGAGCGAGGCGCACGGGTGTCTTCCCTCCCCAGAGTGAGTGTCAGGGAGGAAGCCAGGTCTTCCAGGGCGCTGACAAGGCAGGGCCGGGCTCCTTCCCTCCGTTGTGTTTCTCTGAAATGTTCGAATCACTGGTGTGACGGGAGCACTTAAAGCCGAAAAAGGAAAGACGAAAGCAAAGGATTCTTCAGGGCACATGTGTACAGACTCCTGCTTCCCCTCACTTGCTTTCTGTTTCACTTCTCAGATCATCACTACAGCGTTTGCAGCTTTCCAGCTCATCATGCTGAACTGAAGACAAGACGAGGGGAAAATCAAGGGTGGGTTTTTCCGCAGCACCGTGGTGTCCCGGCTTGGGATACGTTTTATCTGTTGTGAGCCTAAACCTTTTTTACTTCTCAAGCCAGGCCAAATTTTTGGATCCCCTTCAGGTTGCATTGGTAAACAAGAAGGAAATGTACACATTCTATTTATTCTTACAACCAAGAAATGAACTAATTGAGTAGCTAGTGTGGACCACAGTTGCAAAGGAAGGAACTCACAAGCGAGCTCTTCAAGCTGTGATTATGTGGGCAGGAACAATGGCCTGGGTAAAGAGAAGATGAATAGCCATCACTCCAGCCAAACAGCAAATATGAAACTCAAATTGTGCTTTGTTATTTTTCAAATAGCAATGCTGTGTATTTGTGGGAATCATAGGAGAGATTTTTTAAAAATTCTTATCTGCAAAGGTAGAATGAATGGGAACAAAAGCACTGACTGTGTATTTCTTCTTAGTCAGCTTCTTCCAGTTGAGCCCATTTTCTTGGCAAATCAACTCTTTTGTTAGGTTGAAAAGGGTATCATTTCCTTTTCACAGTAAAATCAGGAATTTCATTTTGTGCAATACTACAGCATTTCCTGTCATTGAATTCTAATGGTTTGGGAGTGTGTTCTTTACCTAGCTTTCCAATACAAAGCAAGGAACAGAAAAAAAAAGTCTCTTTCCATTTGCAATAGTTTCTTTTTTTTTTCTTTTTTTAAATTATTATTATACTTTAAGTTTTAGGGTACATGTGCACAATGTGCAGGTTAGTTACATATGTATACATGTGCCATGCTGGTGCGCTGCACCCATTAACTCGTCATCTAGCATTAGGTATATCTCCTAAGGCTATCCCTCCCCCCTCCCCCCACCCCACAACAGTCCCCAGAGTGTGATGTTCCCCTTCCTGTGTCCATGTGTTCTCATTGTTCAATTCCCATCTATGAGTGAGAACATGCGGTGTTTGGTTTTTTGTCCTTGCGATAGTTTACTGAGAATGATGATTTCCAATTTCATCCATGTCCCTACAAAGGACATGAACTCATCATTTTTTATGGCTGCATAGTATTCCATGGTGTATATGTGCCACATTTTCTTAATCCAGTCTATCGTTGTTGGACATTTGGGTTGGTTCCAAGTCTTTGCTATTGTGAATAGTGCCGCAATAAACATACGTGTGCATGTGTCTTTATAGCAGCATGATTTATAGTCCTTTGGGTATGTACCCAGTAATGGGATGGCTGGGTCGAATGGTATTTCTAGTTCTAGATCCCTGAGGAATCCCCACACTGTTTCAAAATATACATGGCTTGAGATTTTGTAAGTTTAGGAATTTCCAGCCACAGGAAAATCAAGAACTGTGAACTGCCGTAGCATCTGCTCTCACTCCCAGGGAGGGCAGCTCTGGGAGGAATGGCCCACGGAGCATGCGCAGCTGTGGCCTTCCAGCCTGCCCCTCTGGCCCTCAGGTGCCGCGGTCTGCTTCTCTTCTTGTCTTCTGTCTTTTCACCACCATACCGGCAGCTCTTGGCGTTTGTTAGCACCTTCCATCCATCCAAGTGGCTTCCAGAGAATTATCTAATGAATTCATACCAGTGTAAGTTATTCATAGGGTTTAACTGATTTATTCAGCAAATGTGCAAATGTTTCCAAGCACCCTACTTGTTGAGGTCTCTGAGAAATATAGAAATGATGCTGGCACTTGATAAAATACCAAAATAAATCACCACCCTGCAAGGCTTTGGGCTCAGTGTCAGAGATGGAAGGGACCTTGATACCACGCAGACCAAACCTCTGATTTCATAGATGAGAAAGTTAAGGCCTAGAACTAGCCAGTGACATGAGCAGATTTCCACTAAAACTCCGTAGAAATCTGCTGGTCTCTCTGCTGCTCTTTCTGGATTGCATCAATATCCAAATCTTTCTCACATGTTGTGGTAGATGAAATTGCTGTTAAAATATTCACTGCCCCTCTGACAGGCTTCTCCCACTGAGGGAATGACACACCCTCATCCCACTAACATCAGCCTTGGCCCTGACTTGCTTTGAGAGTGGAATGAGAGCAGAGGTGACCTATGCCGTAGCGCGACAGAAGCTATCTGCCTTTGTTTTTTTTTTTTTTCTTCCAGGGCATCCACATTAATCTGGATAAAGGCTGCTTCTTCAGCCACAGCTAAGGTGCATGTAATAGGAATGAGAGCCACCTGTGTTTCAGAAAGCGTCTGGGATTTTAGAGCTGCTTGTAACTGCAGCCTAACACAGCCTCAGCCGACTGATACATCCAGTGTCGTCAAAACAGAGCAGGTATTGTTCCATTCTGTACAGTTTAACCTTAATCGGGACCCTCATGTGCACTGGGATCCTGATTTGGGTTCATGGACGGAAGACGCCCATGTACTGTGTGCTCCAGTGCTCCGTGGACGGTCTGGTCTTTTCCCAGGCTGGGCATGGACAGAGAAGGGCACACCTGGAAAGCCAGGGACTCTGCTGTCCTGCAGTGGCCAGGTTTACCCACGCCTTGAGAGGCTTTCATTTGAAATTCAGGGCCCCAACTTAGCTGTCCAGGTGGGAGAGACTCTCCAGAAAAAAAGGATGAAGATGTGCTTTCTGTCTTTGTATTTTTGGTAACTTCAGATAGCCTCAACGTGAGCCACGTGTTCCTAAAGAAAAAATCAGAAAACATATCCATGACATAGGCCAGTAGGGAACGTATTTATGAGAAAGCAGGAAAGCAGGCCCAGGGCACACAGATCTTATCTGGGGAGGTGGCTTTTCTACTGGACTTTGAAGAATGAATAAGAATTTGACATTCAGAGATGGCAGGAAACAGCCATTTGTGGTAAAGGCTCATTGTGATCGGAGACATTAGAACAGAAAGGCCTGGGATGTTTCAGAAAGTTGGTAGTGCAGTTTTTATTACTTCTTACAGGAACATGTTCCTCTTAACAGCAGAAAGAGGCTTAACCTAAAGAATTTAATTGCTAACTATACAATTATGTTTACTAGGTTAGGCCAAGTATTTTGTTGTCTGTTTTTGTTTTATGAAGGAGAGGAGGTTGCTGTGGATCACCACACGTGTCTACCTAGTCTTTGATGGCTTACAGCATTTTACTGATATTTAGGCACTGATCATGTATAAGGATAACTCGTCCACTTTTATCTGTGTTCTCTATCCTGGACACTGAGCTACTCAAGGGCAGGGTGAGTGTCTTGCTGAACTGATATCCTGAAGCTGAGCACAGTTCTTGACACAAATGGGAATGCAGCAAATGCTTATTGAGGAATAAATCAATAAATATGGCTAGCCTGCCTCAATCTTAAAATGTAGAAAATGTGCCCATTTTCTGAAGTGAAGGTATTATGTGCCTCTCTTCAATATGTAGAAAAATCAAAATCATCATCATGATTCACCCAACGTGTGTAATGGCCGACCCTGAACAGCGAGTCAAATGTTTTCCTTTAGAAGAGGGTTCACAGCTGTGCTGGGCATCTTCCTGTTTTATTTGTGACCATGGGTGCCTTTGCAAATCCATTTGTGACTAAATTCACAAAAATTTAGTCACCAAAAAAATGAGAAGAAGCAATATGTAATTGCCCTTTGAAATTGATTTGCAAACCATTGTTTATTTCAGCTCAGTGTTTTAAAATGATATTCACAATAATGTGAATGTCTCTTCCTGCCCCAGCTCATTCTATGGTCCATGCATGTTTCTGAATCATATGGCTGAGCTATAATCCCCAGAAACCAGGGACAGCTGTCCGTGGACGGACATGCTTTTCTGGAAGGATCTCTCCACTGGACACCTTACAGCTGGTGGGAATTACCTGAGCCATGGTGATATGGAAAAACCCACATCAGTCAGGATGCTATGACTAATAGAGTCTAATATAGTTCTTTAAAAGAGGTAATTAATTTGTTAGCACAAAATGGCCAGAATGATTTATAGAAATAAAATAGATACTGCATATAAATAAGTACTTACTGTTGATGTCATCATTGGAGGCAGTGTAGACATGCATAAACAGATGGAAAATGGGGCTGTTGATTAGATACTAGTTCTGCCCTCTATTGCCTTGGGAAAATTAACCACTCTAAGCTGCAGTTTTTTAATGTGCCTGATGGAGATAATGTTTTCTACTTGTCTGCATCGTGGTGCATGGCACAAGCAGGTACCTTAAATATTTGTTTCCTTTTCTTTTTCCATCATAAATAAGGATTTATTATGTGCTGTAACAAATTATTCTTCATGATGATTACTTAATTATTTTTTATTGACTTGGTTTTTATTTGATTTTTGATGATATTTTAAATTATTACACAATCAGTTACCTTTGATCGTGACTGTATTTGCTAAATACAAAATAGTTACCGTTCCTTCTGTGAGCAAAGCAATCGGCTCAGGGCTAATGTTCACTGGCACGGTGCTTACCCAGGATTTCCCTCCTTCCTTCCCAGCCCTTAAATCTCCTCCCTCCCACCATCCTCCTGATGAAATACATTCCCAAACCATAGCCTGTTTAGAGGTTGTGGCACATGGCCATCTTCAATATAGCAGTCCACTCTGAATTTAAATTTGTCACCATTTTCCTTAGAGGGAATGAGAAGGAAAATGAATTTAATTTAGTATAAAAAATAAACATTTCTGGGCACTGGAAATGTCTGTGGTGTTTTAAGAGCTGTTATCATTAATCAGTCAAGCATGTTTACCCAGACCCAGGATTGCTTATGAAACTGAACCGCACGCCCCGAAGCCCTTCAATGAGAGATGGCCACCAAAAGCTGAGGCAGGGAGTGCGTGTTCCCGGTCATCGTCACAGGCCCCAGCTGCTCACGGGGGTGGCATCTTTCAGAGCATGCTCCTCATGGCTGAAAGGAGGTGACACAAAGCAGTCGTTGGAAGTATTGGAAAGCACCACGTGTGCTATTGTTACCTTGTGGCTCTCCAGTTCTGGCCAGGGTATTTTCTTGTGGTTGTGCTTCTAATAGTCCATCCTGTTATAATTTTCAAAGGCAACATCATCTGCATGAATTCTTTTTATGCCAGTTGTAAAACAGCCATGATAATTATTATCATTAGGTGATTCTCACCACACAAAAGGGGGCATGGCATCTGCCAGGCGGGGAAGGTTATTTAGGAGCCAACAAAGCCAGGAGGTGGGCAGGCAGCACTCGCAGTCTGCGCTGGAACGAGCAGAGTCTGGGCCGGGGAGAGCTGGTGCGCGTGTCACTTGAATGTGCGCCTCCACTGCCCACAAAACACTTCCCTTAGAAACAAAGGCAAAAAGGAAGCCCAACATAGAAAACGTGAAACCAAAAAACAGCAGATTCATTCATTCAAGACACATGTGTTGAGTTCTAATTATATGCTTGACACAGGTCTAGGCTCTAGTGAGGAACCTGAAACAAGGCAACACTCCTCCCTGCCCAGAGGTAGCACAGGCGTTCCAGAGGGAGAGAGCGATAATGAGCACTTGCATATTTAATATAATGCCCGACGGGGCAGCATTCACTGAGAAAGCAGAGAGCAAGGGGAGGAGATAAAGGCTGACCGGAGGGCAGGGGGCCTATTTCACATGGAGGTCATGGGAAACAACTGAGGGAGATGACATTTGGCAAGAGACCTAATGAAGTGAGTAAGTCGTAAGAATTCAGGGGAGAAGGGAAGTGTTCTAAGTGGAAAGGACCAGCAAGTGCAAAGGCCCTGAGGCATACACGAATGTGATCCGGGAAGTGCAAAGGCCCTGAGGCATACACGAATGTGATCCGGGAAGTGCAAAGGCCCTGAGGCATACACGAATGTGATCCAGGAAGAGCAAAGTGGTCCTCCAGGCAATCACAGAAAAAGAGGGCAAGAACAATGGGGTGGAGGTCGATGAGCTACGCAGGAAGCAGGTCAGGGCGGATACCACGGGCTGCACAGTGAGGAGTTTGGATGGAATTGTGGGATTTTGATGGGCAGGAGAGAGGATGATATGATTTGTGTGTATAGAGATCGGCTATAGGGTTGCAAGAGTCTGAAACATGGAGAAGAATTTGCAGGCGTTTGCGTTAGCCTAGGCCTGCAATGGTGATGGCTCTGAAAGGAGTGGAGGCAAATGTGAGGAGCAGGTGCATTTGAGCTGTGCTTTGCAGGTAGAACTGGGGGCCTTGCTGATGGAGTGAATGTGAGGAGGGTGAGAAAAAAGATAAACTATTACAGCATAGTAGTGCTTACGAGCAAAGACTAACCGTAACCCTAGGGTTAGGAGATGATAAGAGCCTACGTCGTTCAAGTCTTGTCTTTGCTCCTTACTAGCTGTGTAAATTTGGGCAAGGTATTTAACCTGTCTGTGCCCATCTGTAAAATGGGGATGATCATAGTATCTCCTTCGACTGGGGATTGTGAGTGTGCATGGGACACACACACGTGTTTAGAACACAATCTGGCCTCCAATAAGAATATATGTGTTAGTAATTACTATTATTGGTGAATTAAGCAATTAGGTGAATTTGGTGCCATTTACTGAGATGGAGAAGACTGGAGGAGGAGTGAATTTTGGGGAAAATCTTAGGAATTCTGTTTCGGAAGTGTTCAGTTTAAGATGTTTATCAGACTTATACACAGAGGTGTTGAGCTGGACATAGGAATCTGAAGGTCCCAGGGAAAAAGGAACTAGAAATAGAGATGCGATCTTTAAAGCATGACTCCTGAAAGAGATCAGAAACATTGAGAGCTTGGGGAAAGGAGGAAGAGTCAGCAAAGGGAGTTAAAAGAAAGGGCCGACAGTGTTGGAGAAAATTAAGTGTTCATTTTCTAAGAGAAACAGTGCTTCAAGAAAGAGGCAAGGCCAACTCACAAAGTCCAGTAAAGTTTGGAGCCATGGACGCTGCAACTTGTACAAGAGGCTTCAGTGTTGTGTGAGGTCAGACGCCTTTGCGGAGTGGGCCTGGAGAGCAGGCAGGTGAGAAAGTGCAGATGGTGTATTAGAAAGGCAGCCGCCAGGGTGCCTCCGCCCAGATGCGTGCAAGCTTGAGCTTTACAAACCCTTCACTTTCATGTTGGCACTGCTGTAAGGCCCATGGTTTTCTTGTTCCCTTCCTATTCTTTCAGGAAGGAATCAGAGTCAGCAATGATGGTTCTGTTGCTTAAAACTAGTGACACTGGCACACTCACCTGAATGGTGCACAATTTGGCACAAACGGATTTATGGATGTGAGTTGGAAATTGAGAGATTCTGTGTCCTAAAACCAATCTATAGATGATGATCTCCAGGTAATAGAAAGTTTTCCTGCCCTCTAAAATGATCCTATGTGTTTAATACAAATGTGCAAATAAATAAGACATCTGTACTAGCAATGAAAAGCAATCAGACAAATCGTGTAATTTTGGAAATCCTCACAAATGCTTCTTGTTTTTGTTTTGTTTTTGAGACAGAGTTTTGCTCTTGTTGCCCAGGCTGGAGTGCAGTGGCATGATCTTGGCTCACTGCAACCTCCACCTTCCAGGTTCAAGCGATTGTCCTGTCTCAGCCTCCTGAGTAGCTGGGATTACGGGCACCCACCACTACGCCCGGCTAACTTTTTGTATTTTTAATAGAGAGGGGGTTTCACCATGTTGGCCAGGATGGTCTCGAACTCCTGACCTCAGGTGATCCACCCACCTCGGCCTCCCAAAGTGCTGGGATTACAGGCGTGAGTCACCGCGCCTGGCCCACTAATGCTTCTTAACCTGTCCCTTCCTTTATGGACTTAATTGCGTCTTCCCAACATTCACATGTTGAAGTATGTGACTGTATGTGGAGATGGGACCTATAAGGAGATAACCAAGGTTAAATGAGATTGGAAGGGTAGGGCCTTGATCCAACAGGACTGATGTCCTTATAAGAAGAGAGAGAGGCATGAGGGCCATGGGAGGACACAGCAAGGGGCGCCATCTGCAAGACAAGGAGAGGTCTCAGAAGAAACCAGGCA
The DNA here is from genome assembly GCF_000001405.40 of Homo sapiens. Classification (NCBI taxonomy): domain Eukaryota; kingdom Metazoa; phylum Chordata; class Mammalia; order Primates; family Hominidae; genus Homo; species Homo sapiens. The sequence continues at coordinate 719,536 of NC_000006.12, forward strand.
TGCCGATCTTGATCTCGATCACTGACTTGCGGCCTCTGAAACTCAAAAACGTGTTGTTTAAGCCAACCTGTCTCTGGTACTTTGTCACAGCAGCTGGAGCTGACTAATACACTTAACCTCACATACCTATTTGAATGATGTTCTTTAATCTCTTTAATCATGGTATCTCTTTAATCTCTTCCCTCTCCAGCAACCCCACTGTCGGTGCCCTCATTCAGGCACTCACTACCTTCTTCCTGCACCATTAGAAAAGTCTTCATATTGGTTTCATGTCTGCCCTAATCAACCCATTCCCTACACTCTTTCCAAGTCATCTGTCTTAGGACCAGAGCCAGGAATAGGATTAATTGGAGTCAGAGCTTCCCTTTAGGGCACTTCACCTGTTGGAGAACTGGAGAAAATATGAAGAGGATGCTCACTACGGGTGCAGGTTCCTAAGCACCACAGGAGTGTTGAAAGACAGAAACAAGCTGTAAACCCAGAGACACGCTGGGAAGAGGGAGCCCCAGCAGCCACTGCAGTGAGCTGGCCACTTGGCCACGCACAAGAAGTGGAATTTATTCATTCATTGATTTGCTCAATCATGTTGAATGAGCACAAATATATCTCTGACTTTGTTGAGCTTCTATCCTGGTGAGTGGAGACACTTAAACATAGGCATAAGTTAATGAGATGATTTAGGATGAAAAGGGGTGCTATGAAGATTCTGAAAGGGGCAGTGGGATGGTGGGAAGGGGTGCTTCTGGTAGCATGGTCAGATAAGTGGACAGAGGAAGTGACGGGACTCCTGGGATATGAAAGATGAGAGGTAGCTGGCCATGCAGGGGAATAACATCCCATGTAGAGGAAACTGCTCTTGCAAAGTAGATAAGATGGGTGGAGCCTACAGGCAGGGTCAGAGGGATTTCAGGTGTTGTGGACTGAGAAGCGCTAGATATAGCATCTTGTTGGCCATGGGAGGTGTGTTTCATCCTAATTAGACTGGTGGCCTCTGGGGGGTTGTGAACTGGGAGATGATAAGATTTTATCTCTATTTTAAGGTGGTCCTAGCTGCTGAGGGTGGAGGTGTTGCTGCTACACTGGGGTGTCAGCAATAGGAATCGGCAGGGGATGGAAGGCTCAGAGTTTCTTTTGGCAGTTAAGCTGCTGGGATTTGCTATTAGGTGGAATATGTTTGTGAGTGAAAGAGGGGCATTAAGTGTCCAGGAGGACGGTGGTGACATGGACTGAGAGAAGCAGGTTTGGGTGTGCCGATTTAGAGTTACAGTTTAGCTTGGGTAAGTTTCCGATGCAGTCATGCGTTACTTAACGATGGGGACACACTCCGAGAAATTCATCATTTACAGGTTTTGTCATTTTGTGAACATCAAAGAGTGAACTTGCACAAACCTGATACAGCACTAGCTTGTCCAACCTGCTGGCTGCAGGCCACTTGTGGCCCAGGATGGCTTTGAATGCAGCCCAACACAAACTTGTAAACTTTCTTAACACATATTTTTTTTCAATTTTTTTTTTTTTAGCTCACCAGCTATCATTAGTGTTAGTGTATTTTATGTGTGACCCAAGACAATCCTTCTTCCAGTGTGGCCCAGGGAAGCCAAAAGATTGGACACTTCTAGTATAGCCTATTGCTCCTAGGCTACAAACCTGCACAGCATGTGCAGTTGTGACACAATGGTGTTTGTGTATCTTAACATGGAAAGGTAGAGTAAAAATATGGTATCTTATTGTCTTATGGGCCCACCATCATAGATGCAGTCTCTCATTGACCAAAATTTTGTTATGTGTCACATGATGTTAGTACTAGATGTTACAGAAAGGGAGATTGGCAAATGCGTTCACAGATACCACTTAGGAAGTAAGAAAAGGGCCCAGATGGAGCGCTGCATTTGGCCAGAGGAACGTAGTTGGTGCTTTTGATAAGAGCCATTTTAGCTGAGCCATGAAGATGAAAACTGCTTTCACCAGAGCATGTTCGAGAGAGAATGTGAGGCCAGAAGGTGGAAAGTTTTGTGGAGAAGAGTAGAGAAGTGGGGGTAGGGAATCTCCAAGGGATGTGGGGTAAAAGAAGGAGTTATTTATGCTGAACTAGAGCAAGCCTTGCTTGTCTGCTGCCGGGAATGAAGCCTTCCAACTGGTGGTGCAGGAGACAGGGCCCGTCAGAAGGAGCTGGGTTCTCCTGCGGCTGGTGAGGTGAGGCACGGAGCACAAGTGATGGTGCTGAAAAAGCTAAAGTTGGGGAATGGAGGTTTTTTCCATTAGAAGAAATTTTTCTCCTAATGATACCAGGAGGATTTTTCCTCCTAATATCACTATATGATACTTTTATCTTTTATGCTGTGAATATTAAATGCCATTTGACTTTAATGGTACTATATAAACACGATGTATAATGCAAGTACTAACATTATAATTGTAATTTTAAAGAATAGTTTAATGAATGTAATGACTATTCAAATATCGTGCTAATAATTTACCATGAAGTAACAACTTTTCACTATGTTTATAGCAGATTAAGAAAAATGTCCCTTTTGGGGAGAATAGCGATAGACCAATTTTTGGATTTGAAAATCAGCGTCAATTTCCACTGTAGACTTTGGAAATGACCCTTTGCTTATGAGCTCCAAGCACCCACTAGAGGGCGCATGCGAAGGCCTCTCCAGGCACGCAAAGGAGCCGCCGGAGCCCTTTCCTTAGGAGGCGGATCTTAAACCAAATGTAAACAATTTTGCTTCATAACAGTGATGACTTACTTGTTGCTGTTTCCTAGGCAGCGAATTTAAGGGTAATGATCAAAAAGCTAAAGTTAGACGATTGAAGTTTTCTCCTTACTTGAACATTTCTTTTGTAAAAGCACATCTGTTAAACAAAAAAGATGAATATTGTTAAGCTTTTGCAGAGGTATATAAGTTCCTGAAGTCTTTTGAGATGAAAAAATGAAATCAAAATGCAAAACGCAATAATGATATATTCTGAAAGAAACTCCTCTTTGGTATTCTGTTATCAAATAGCCTTAGTGGGAAATGAATATATAGAGTCCAACTACCATTTCTCTATGGAAATAAAGCCCACGAGGTCTTTCCTTTCTTACCCAGTCCATTCCCTGATTTTAAACATTCAATAAGTTCCAAGCCAAGAAATGCATTTTTCTTCCTTTTGATGATTTTCTGTGGTTCCTTAAGATGGTTTGTAGAATATATTACGGCTGTTGACCCCTGCAGGCAGTTTCCAGATCTTCGTGGTTTCCTCTACAGCTGTGGGTATTTCTCTTGTGAAACCACAGGTCAGTTCAGAACCACAGAACTTATCCTGACAATTAGAATTTTAGCCACTGTCCTGTGGGATTTTCAGAGCCACAAGGACTCCATGCTTTCAGTCCAGATCCTTAAATTAGTACCATCTGATGCCTGAAACATTCATGCGTTATCCAAGGATCCGAGGTCAACCTTTCTCAACTTTTTATTGAAAGTTAGCATATGTGCCCATCTCCTACATGTCCCCACAAATACCCTCCCTAGAATGCAAGATCATGAGAATGAGGATTTGGCCTTCCCTATGTGTTCTCGTGCCTGCCCCGTTGCCTAGTACCTGGCCTTTGTAGCATGGCTGAGTCCTTCCTTAGGGTCTCATTTAGAGCAGTGGGTTTCAAACGTTAGATTGCATTCAACTCTGCTAGAGGGCTCGAAAAAACACGGATTTCTGGGCCCTATTCCCAGAGTTTCTGATTCATAAAGTCTGGGGAGTGGAAGAAAATCTGTATTCTAACAAGTTTCCAGGTGATGTTCTTGACGTGACAGCTAAGTTTTGAGTCCCACAGGGTTTAGAGCATTATGAGTTCCATCAGAAAGAAGAAAGGACATGCCTGATGCTGCAGAGTTCAGTTTCGACTGAGGGAGGGAACATGGCTAGTCTTCACATGGAAAGATAACCCTCATCAAGGGCATCACTGATCTTTGAGCCATGTTAAACGTGTAATGCCTGTCAACTGAATAGGACCTCTGGGCATGGAGAGAGGATGGTATGGAAACAGTCAAGTTGTTTGTTTGGAACTGGGTATGCAGTCACTTCTCACTGATTTCCCTGTGCTATTGTATTAACACTATGACAGTGTTTAAAGTATGAATTATTAACCACTTAGGCTTTTTAGCAAAGGAAGTATTTGTCTCAGTGATATCTACAATGGAAGTATTCATTTCTCCATTCACTTTTCGGAGGCATGGGTTTGGTCCTGGCTTTGCAATTACAGGCAGGAACCAGTAGGAGAACTGATCATCTGCTCCCATGTTGTATGTCTGCTGGAGGCAATATTTTGCCTTTCCATCTCCAAGTGAAGTCCGCCTGGCCCTCCCTGTCTCAGCCTGGACTTTTGGAAGCTGAGCTTCGACTGAATCAGTTTTTGCAAGGTCTAGGCTTTTTCTTTTTTCTTTCTTTTTTTTTTTTTTTTTGAGATGGAGTCTCACTCTGTCGCCCAGGCTGGAGTGCATTGGCATGATCTTGGCTCACTGCAAGCTCCGCCTCCTGGGTTCATGCCATTCTCCTGCCTCAGCCTCCCGAGTAGCTGGGACTACAGGCGCCCGCCACCACACCCGGCTAATTTTTTGTATTTTCAGTAGAGATGGGGCTTCACCATGTTAGCCAGGATGGTCTCGATCTCCTGACCTCGTGATCCACCCGCCTCAGCCTCCCAAAGTGCTGGAATTACAGGCGTGAGCCACTGTGCCTGGCCTAGGCTTTTTCCACCTGTTTGGATATCTGTTTCTTTAAAGAATCCAACATATGCAGCTTCTAAGTTTATGCTTTTCAAACAGGTGTGTGTGCGTTTCCTGCCATGTGCCAGGGGACATGAAAGAGCACAAAGTCAGCATGGCACCTCCTGGAGCAGGGATTCCAGGATTAGCCAAGTTGGAGGTTTTAGATGGAACTGGCATGCTGCCTGTGCCCTGCACTATGCCACCTCTGTTGCAGCATAGTGGACAGTCCCCATGCATGCCTTCCCGAGGGCTCATGGACTCTCTCAGCTTACCAACGGTCTTTCTCTAGAGCAGAAGTACCTTCTCAGCCAGCAGTTAGCCATTGTGGAGGTGCCAGGGGAGTTAATGCCCTTAGGAGCAACTCTTGGTCCTTGGAGGCAGGAGTCAGCACCCACTGAACGTCAGCATACATTTCCCACCTTCCAGCCCTTCCAAGGGATGATCCTCAGAAGTGTGTTCTGCTGGGTTCCTCCAAAGCTCTCAGTGAGACCCAGCTCCAGTTGCCCATAGTGGCAACCCAGCTCAACCATGCCCTCCTAACACCTTTTCTTTCTTCCCTGACCTTTCTGCCTGCACTCAAGTCTTTTCTCAGTTTGCAAAACCAGGATACACAATATTTAGTATCTCCCAAACGTAAAATAAGTGGAGTGCAAAATTCAAAGAAAATTCAGGATGCATAGTAGTGTTTAGAGAACAACATGGGGCTGTCATGATATATTAGACACTTGCTTTCCCTTCCATGAAAAAAAAAAAAGGAAAACAATTGCTCTGTGTTCTAAAGAAGATTCATTATCTGCTGTCTCTTTACTTACTGCATACATACACCTCAGACTTCTGCAATTTGGCTTCAGACCCCACTTTCCACTGAAACTCCTAATCAGTAGCCTCTAAATCTTCTTCTCCATGAGGATGGACTTTTTTTCCATTTGTTTGTGTCATCTCTGATTTCTTTGAAGAGTGCTTTGCATTCTCATTGCAGGGGTCTTTCACCTCTCTGGCTGGCTGTGTTCCTAAGTATTTTATTCTTTTTGTGGCAGTTGTGAATGGTATTGCCTTCCTGATTTGGCTCTGAGCTTGGCTGTTGTTGGTGTACAGAAATGCTACTGATTTTTGTCCATTGATTTTGTATACTGAAACTTTGCTGAAGTTGTTTATTAGCTGAAGGAGCTTTTGGGCTGAGACGGTGGGGTTTCCTAGATGTAGAATCATGTTGTCTGCAAACAGAGGTAATTTGACTTCCTTTCTTCCTATTAGGATGCCCTTTATTTCTTTCTCTTGTCTGATTGCGCTGGCCAGGACTTTCAGTACTGTGTTGAATAGGAGTGGTGAGAGAGGTCATCCTTGCCTTGTGCCAGTTTTCAAGGGGAATGCTTCTAGCTTTTGCCCATTCGGTATGATACTGGCTGTGGGTTTGTCATAGATGGCTCTTATTATATTGAGGGCAACCTAGGCAATACCATTCAGGACATAGGAACTGGCAAAGATTTCATTACGGAGATGCCAAAAGCAATCACAACGAAAGCAAAAATTGACAAATGGGATCTAATTAAACTAAAGAGCTTCTGCACAGCAAAAGAAACTATCAACAGAGTAAACAGAAAACATAAAGAATGGGAGAAAAATTTTGCAAACTATGTATTCGACAAAGATCTAATATCTAGCGTGTATAAGGAACTTAAAAAATTTGCAAGAAAAAAAAAAACAACCCCATTAAAAAGTGGGCAAAGGACATCAACAGACACTTTTTGAAAGAAGACATACATGTGGCCAACCAGCATATGAAAAAAATCTAAGTATCACTAATCATTAGAGAAATGCAAATCAAAACCACGGTGAAATACCATCTCGCACCAGTCAGAATGACTATTATAAAAAAGTAAAAAACTAACAGAGGCTGGTGAGGTTGCAAAGAAAAGGAAACACTTATACATTGTTGGTGGGAGTGTAAATTAGTTCAGCCATTGTGGAAAGCAGTGTGGGGATTCTTGAAAGAGCTAAAAATGGAACTTTTTAACCCAACAGTCTCATTACTGGATATATACCCAAAGGAATACAAATCGTTGTGTCATAAAGACATATGCGTGTGTGTTCATTGCATCACTATTCACAATAGCAAAGACATGGAATCAACCTAAATGCCCGTGAATGGCAGACCAGTCTACCACATTTTAAGTGGTAGATATACACCATGGAATACTATTCAGCCATTAAAAAGAATGAAATCGTATGCTTTGCAGGAGCATGGATGGAGCTGGAGGTCATTATTCTTCGCAAACTAATTCAGGAACAGAAAACCGAATACTACATGTTCTCACCGATAAGTAAGAGCTGAATAAAGAGAACCAATGGACACAAAGAGGAGAACAACACACACTGGGGCCTACTTGAGGGTAGAGGGTGAGAGGAGGGAGAGGAGCAGAAAAAATAACTGTTGGGTATTAGGCTTAGTACTGGCATGATGAAATAATCTGTACAACAAACCCTCGTGACATGGGTTTACCTATATAACAAACCTGTACATGTATTCCTGAACCTAAAATAAAAGTTAAAAAAGAAAATTAGCCAGGGATGGTGGCACGTGTCTGTAGTACCAGCTACTTGTGAGGCTGAGGTGGGAGGATCACTTAAACCTGGAGGTTGAGACTGCAGTGAGTCCCGTGATCTATGATCATGCCACTGCACTCCAGCCTGGGTGACAGAGCGAAACCTTGTCTTTAAAAAACAAAAATTGTTCTAAAGTCGTCAGAGAGATCCCCATATTTTCTATCTATAATTTACCTGTCATAGGCAAGGCGGCCTTCTCCTTCTTTTTTTGTTTTGAGACAGGGTCTGGCTCTGTTGCTCAGGCCGGAGTGCAGTGGTTCCCTCTAGGCTCACTGCAGCCTCAACCTCCTGGGCTCAAGCAGTCTCTCCACTTCGGCCTTCCAAGTAGCTGAGACCACCAGTGTGTGTCTGGCTACTTAAAAAAAAATATTTTGTAGAGATGAGGTCTCATTATGTTGCCCAGGCTGGTCTCAAAACTCCCGGGCTCAAGCAATCCTCCCGCTTCAGCCTCCCGAAGTGCTGGGATTACAGGCATGAGCCACCGTGCCTGGGCTCATTTTTCAGAAGCAAGGTCACTAATTATTTTACCTGTGCTTTTCTTCCTCTGTGATCTGGTGGTTCCCTCTCCTCTCTTCTGCCCTCCTCCTTCCTTCTCTCCCCTTCCCTCATCCCCTTTCCTCATCCCTCCTTGCAGCTCTGAGTGCTCAAATGCTGTTTGGACTCTTCCTTCTTATAAACATCATGCTTTTCTCTTTAGCTCATGGCCGAGTTTCTTAGCAAAGTGCTTTATGGAAGTGTAGGGAATAGAGATGTCACATAAAAATGGAATGAGTTGTGAAAACAGGCAGTTCCCATCTCCCCCAAGATAGGCAAATCTTTTAATGACCTCCCTGGGAGGAGGGAGCCAAGGGCATATTCAGATTTTATAGCACCGTGGTTCAGGATATTGAATGAATACAGTTATTTCATGATTAGAAATAAAATACACTTCAGAAAATCTTTAAAATGCCCAACTGTGCAAAGATAAATTTTACTATATTCATGACTATTCATTTTAATAGTTCTTTTTCCAGTTACTTACCATAGGTCTTATGTAATACTTTTGGCAGAATAAAACAAAGTACCATTTCTGCTTTCAAAACAGATCAGTTAATACATTCAAAGCTATTGTCTTTTTCCTCGTCAAAGATGGCATTGTTAGAGCCAGCATATATAAACTTTCTTCCCTGCTGAGTAGACCACGTGGAAAAATGCTTATTTTTTCTTATAAGAATAAAATTGCAATCTTTCAACAGAACATGTTGATTATGCCATCTGGCACATAATTTCTTTGCTTAAATTAAGCTGAGAAATCAATTCAGTGTTGAAAGATATTATCCGTTTAGCATTTTTTTTTTACCTCCAGGCAATTTGAGAGAGGGAAAAAAATAAGTTGTTTTCTTTTCTAAGTATGTGAATTATATAGGTCTTGAATATTTTCTTCTACATAGGGGAAAATTATAATTTATAAGTAGATAGCTACGATCCACTGGGATTTCTTGTTCTGAAGTTATGCCAAAGCTGTACTGCGTTACCGGAACCTGCCCTGGAAGACCAGGTGACACTTGAAGATTAGCATCGGTTGATAGACGGTGTGATCAAATGATGGCAAAGACCTGTCCTAAGAGTTGTCTACATTTTGCTCAGACTTTTCTTTGTGAAGTAGTTTGTGGGTTCAGGTTGTTGCCGACAGTAAAGGCACAAATAAATGAGCTTAATACACAAATCCGGCTGCCCCCTAGGGCTACCTAGCAACGTTAAGGAACTAACAGGTGGTGGGAACTCATAAGAACGGAGTGGAAATGACCACTTCTTAACTGGACAGCGGAGGACTGCTCCAGCGGGATCCCCTTGTCAGTTTCTTCCTTGCGTCTCTCCTACCACACGTCTGTGGAGGTGCAAATCAACACCCAGTCACCAAAGACCTTCCAGGTGAATAGCTAAAGCCATGTACAGCCCTTGACCATTCTATAGCCGCCGAATCGGAGTTGAGCTGATCGTGAGAGATGCTATTGGGAAGCTCAAACAGATGCAACAAATGCCAGAGGAAAGTGAGCCTTGAACTGGAAGTTGTACATATGGCAGAAAAATGGGGAAAAGACGCAAATTAGTTGGAATTTTTGCCTTTGTCTCTTTGAGTTATTTTAAAAAGTCATCTTTAAAATAACGATTGAATGTTAAGTTTTGTTATTTAAATAGTGATTTATTAAGATTAAGAAATAAAGAATAGGAAATTCACATTTATGGAGAGGTATCATACAGAAATCAACCACCTGGGGTCTCACAAAAACACACCTACCCTGAGTCTTTGATGGCCACCTGCCTGTTGATGTCATTATCCACCTGTCAACTGCCTGGGGCATTGGGGAGAAAAGAAAACTTAAGTGTTTTCATACCCAAGGAAGTTTATGAAGTAAGTGCAAGCATCACAAATGGAGTTTTAAGAAAGCCTAGATCTGAATTCTAGCGCAGCAATAGGTTCACAATATATTTGGAAAAAGGATAATGTAATTTTTGCTGCAAGGACTTTGCATAACAGTAATAATAATACTTTTCATCACACTTAGGTTTCAAAGCCTATTCATGTGAATTATGTGCTGTGCTTCTCGTTAACCTCCTGCAAATCTAATATAATGGAGACACAGAACATAATAGTAGATGCTGAGTTGGAGTGAGATCCAAGGTTTTGGAGCTGAGGAAGTTGAAGCCATTGAAAAACGGCTTGTAATACTTGGCATGTATGCTTGAGACATGCTTGTTCACCATGGTGCCAATTTAAAAGTCATAGCTAATTGCATGCATTTATAAAAATGAAGGCAGTGTATCCCGGAATCTTGCAGTGACAGCTTTCTCTCAGGGTGATCCCTATTTCACACCATCTGAGACACAGGCTTAAAGAGCAGATGGGCAGAAGCCAGTCTCCTGATCGATGGTGGGGTGTCCCGTTCTGAGGCCGGGCTCCCACACTGCAGCTCTGCCTGGCTGGCTCCCGGTAACACTCAGAAACATGTCTCTGCACTTTGTGGGCATCTGATTCCGTACTCCTGCATCTTAACAAACGAGAGAGAGAGAGAGAGAGAGAGAGATCAGGCAAGAAAGTAGAAAAGAGCAAAGGCACATTGGCAAGAATGATTTCAAAGTCTCACCACTCCTGCTGGAAAGCCCCAGTTCCTGAAATATTTTGGAAGGATCTGTATATAAGTGCCCTTGGGAAATAATTTCTCTGATTGGCACCTTAGCTTTTTGACTCTTTTAGCAGTGAATCAACAAGTCCATCTGTGGAAAGAAGAAAGCTAATATAATGCGGCATTTAAAGCACAGCCCGGGAGACTCCACCTACTTACTTTAGAGAAGCCAGCCCCACCTTCCCTGACCTGGCCGACCATTTATCTCAAGAGTCCAGAATCACTGGAGCTCCCAGGGGGCTGATCCAATTTGTCCCTTTGTTCAACAGAAACATGGAGAATTCCTAAGAGCGAGAACTTGATTTTAAATAGGGAATTAGAAGACTGTTAAGTCCAAACTCAATCTGTTCCATCTCTTCACCATGGCTTATGGTCCCACCAATGCCACTGGGCTCTCCAGACCACCTTTGTTGACTATTGCCAAACACTATGAGATACAAAAAAGAAACGATATTAGTAGAAAATGGATTGCCCACATTTTCAAGGCTGGGGAAGGGCATGAGCTGAAGAATTTCTAATACAATTCTGACTCTCACACAATTTGAACTTCCTACCTTTGCAATATGAAATGTACATTTTATATACAATTTCCATGCCAATTTACAGGTGTTAAATTGGGAACAGCAGTAGAGTACAGACAAAGGGGGATAATCTAATCTAACAGCTACAGAGTTCAAACAAAGTTTGCTTCCTTTTTTAATATCATCTGGATGTCTGCAACATTTCATGCAAATCAATCTTAATTTACTATGTGTTTTGGCTCTTTCATAAAATAGTCTGACCATGCTATTTCTACAATTTTAGCTGTAAAATTTTCCATAAATAGGGCACTTATTACATTTTTAATATGTGGATTGATTCAGTTAGTATAAGAGTCTAGAAGAAGAAAGAGTCCGGGTAGAGAAATCTAGCCTTTTACCAATTCCCCAAAGCATTTCTGACACGAGCGTGTCATTTAGACTCAGGAGACCAGGTTGGAAAGACTGTGTCCTTGGACTTTCTCTAGTATTTTTTACTACCACAAGCCTAGGTTAACTTTGGCTTAACTCTGCAGATCTACACATTGTCAACCTAAGTGAGAACTTTGCAAGAACTCTCGGGTAAATTTGGGCTGCAGTGAACGATTTTGTCATTGACCTTGGTAACCCACTCACTGGGCTCAGCTCGACTCTGAAATTCTGTCTTTTGATGGCATTTCAATTGACGGAATTTCATGTTGGAGAATCTATGAAGTGGGGCCATCCCCATGTCAATGACTAGAAGGAAGTGCAGCATTCGGCTGGGGAGGCTGCCCTCGGATGGTGATTGATTTGGTTGGTCAAGTGAGTCTCAAGTCAGGAAAGCACAGGGAAGCCCAGTACTTGCTATTTCTTCGTGAAAGTTTGGGAACTTAGCTCTTCCATTGCAGTTGGAGGAATCAGAGGTGGCAGCACAGAGATTCCTTGGAAGGCCTCCTCCGAGAAGTTTTATAAGCATGTGTGTGTATACACGCTGGTTTTTACAGGAGGATCACGTCTTCCAGACCACCCATCCATCTCATGCAGGCACAGCGTGTCACTGTGCCCATCTCCTGACGGCGAGTCTGACATTATTGGGGCTTTTGCTATTGTATTGACTTGTGGCTGAGAGAGATCAGCATTGTGTTACTTGGATTTAGTATGCTCAAACTCATTTCTTTTCCACATTCCAAGAGGATTTCTTCCCTGAAAAAAAAGGGGCATAGGAAAGCGAGTTCCAAAGTTTCTATTCAAATGTAATCCCTCATATCCTCTCTGGGCGCCCCCCTAAAGGACAGTTGTTTTTAAAAGGAAAATATCAGTTAAGACATACCATGTCACTAAAGGGACCTTTAAAAAGTCATTTGGCCTCCTGGCAGGACCACACTCTGAGCAGAGATCACAATCTATCCCTTTCTTTAAATCTCCAAAGTGTTTTTGAAACGGTTAATAATAATAAACGAGATAAGGGAATCCAGGTGGCACGGTCACGCGGACATCAACAGCGGTGCCTCTGTGTGAGGTGTCAGCCAATTTGCAGTACAAAGCTGACCACGTTTTATAAGTAGTATTCTAAGAAGCAAAGTCTTATGGACCTTTCAGAACATGTGCTTCTATTTATTCTTTGTCAGCATGCTGGGGCACCTGTGTTAGTTTTATGCCACTGCATGCAGACTCTTTGAGGAGGAGAATTCTGGTAAGTTCCAGCTGTTATTTCACCTGTGAGAGAAAAAAAAAAAAAAAACCTTCCTGGAACTTTCAACCTGAAGCACTAAAATTATTTGGGAACCAATACCACCACCAATTGAGATGGGAAAGCAGTTAATATTTCAATATGTGAATTCCGTTTATTAAATGCCCAGTATAAAAAAGAAAAACATTGGTTCTTCTTAGGGGTGAGGACAGCAGTAACTAAAAATTAACACATATATGTATAAGATTAACATAGTGCTGTTTGTGGTTATTGTGAGAAGAACTGGGTGTCACCATTAATTATATTGCTCACAGTTATTCAATGGTTACTAGTTATTATTTATGAAGTACTCTGCTAAGTATTACATATACATTGTCCCACTAAATACTTACAATAGCCCTGTGAGTGAACTATCAGCATCCTGCTTATCTAGACAAAGAAATTGAAGCTTTGAAAGGTGAAGTAGTTTGCAAAAGCTGTGTCAGGCAATAAGCTAGTTAACTGGGAGTAAAACCCAAGCATCTGGTTCCAGAGCCTGGGTTCAAAGCACTGAACTAGCATCTCACAAACGAAGGGTCCCTGAACACTGCGTGCGATCCTTGCGATAGAATGTGGAGGAACTTCACATGTGTGGGAATGTCATATATTTATTTGTTTTTTGACTCTCTTCTCCATTAAAATGTAACCACTGTGAGATAGGGCCTTTGTCTGGCCTATTCACAGCTATATTTCCAGCTCCCCAGAATGTGTGTCACAAAGTAGATGCTCAAATAAATACTTGCTAAATGAAGCAATGATTAAAACTGATGACTTTTATTACTTGGAATGAAGACAAAAGTAGGTTTGTAAAGAAAATTATTGATGGAATGTAAAGGGAACTATTAAAAAGTGAAAGTACAGATGATGTGATGTAGATGACGAGAACTACGAGGGGAATGAGAGGACCTCAAGTGCGGGCAGCATTGTGTACAGCATGTTCCCTTCTGCATGCACTTAGTTAAAAGTGAGGCTATGGCATTTTCCGTGCACTCGAAGTCACGCGCAAGAGTCATACGTAAAATGAGCCCCATCCATCCAGGATATAGACGTGTCTGTGTAGATCAAGGAGATTCTGTAGGAGGTTAGTTTTGCATCTGGAGTTTGAGTAATTAGCACTATTGAATAAACTGAAAAAAATGTTATATTTTCTTTTGAATCCCTCAGCACAAATGACAGTAACCATCACACACTGGATCTGCAGATAAATAGGGAAGCTATTTTTTTTTTTTTTACCGTTTCTGTCTGATTTGGAAGCCGAGCAGTGGCTGGTTAGTAATATCATCTTGTTTCCATTCCACTGTGTGTGATTGTCATCCAATGCCTGTGCACTCTCAGCTTCCATAATGTGGTAAATTGTGTTGGATTAATAGCTGGTTGGAACATGGCCAAGAAACCAGTGTGTTAAAGGAGAAAATGTTGGTTATTCTATTTATATTCATTTTACCGTTGTGCCAGCCAATGAAACTGAGTTATGGATGGATGTCAGAGTACAAGGAAACAATTTTCAGTTTGAACAATTCCACCTTATTTCTTCAGAAGTAGCACACAGAGGAGGAAAAACATAGTAACAACAATTGGCTTTTCAATGCTGAATGTTTGCGCTAAGATTTTATCACTGAGCATTTTAAGAGAGGATCATGCTGAAAATGAAATCATCTGATACTCTGGGGGATTCTGAGCTGATGGATGGCTGTGTGGGCTTGGGGTCTCCTGCCTGGGTGACGGGTGCCGCCGCACGCAGCCCCCAGTCCCGCTCACTTCCATCATCACCACTGCCTGCTCACAGCTCTCAGTGAGGATTCCAGGCGCCTTTCATCGTTCCTGTAGTGAACATGTACCACTCAAAATACGAGTAATTAAATCTCTCATCGGACGAAATGCACAGAACTTGAAGGCTTAAGCATTGTACATGGGGAGAGAAAAACAGACATGGAAAGCAACCTGAGAAAGACAGCTGTGTGAAGAAAGCCTTCTTCTTCGGAGAGTTGGTGCTGAAACATCCTTTGGGTGGTTTTGGCAAGATCGATAGGAATGAGGGATGTTTCTATAATGCTTGTTTGATTCAGAGAGTGGGCAAAAGGAGAAACTCTTTGCGCAAGTGTGCCCTGCTCTCTAATTCTGATTGGGCAGCGCAGCCAGGAAGCCAGGGGGTGGCTGGGGATGCGGCCGTCACCGTGCTGGTAGACCCTCATAACCAAGGTGACTGGAAGGCTGGGCTCACTTTCAAAGATTCTTACCTGTAAGCGTCCCCATTATAATTGTTTGAGATAGGTGGGCATAGGCAGCCTCCTTTCACTCATTCATTCAAGTACATTTAGTGCAGATTGACACACACCAGGTGCACTTCCGAGGGGCTGGACATGAACACACAGTGTGACCAAAATCACGAAATCCCTGCACCCACATGGCTTACCTTCCAGTGAGAGAGAGAGAGAAAATAAAAACATATGCAAAAGTACAGTATATAGATGTGACCGCTAGTACGGAGAAATAAAGAAGGAATGGGGTATTGAGAATCCTGGAGGAAGGGGTCCAGTGGTGAACAGCATAGTAGGGATGGCTCACAGAAAAAAGAAGACAGTTTGCAAAAGAGCCAAACAGCCGAGTAGATGAGCCATTAAGCCCTGTGGGTACCAGGCTGAAGGGTGATTCAGGCAAAAGGAACAACAGGTACAAATGTCCCGAGGTGGACTATGCCTGATGTTGTTTGGGAAGAACCAAGAGGCCGAAGAAACTGGATTGGAGGTCTTCCTTTAAGAATACAGCTACTGGGGAGTGGGGTCGACTCTGAGTTTAGATTACACCCTGGGATGCTAGGTCTCAAGGCTACAGATTGTATTTTAAAATAATCTAATTAAAATTGCAAATGGCACGTTTTTTTTGTTTCTCCAAATACTCAAAAAGAATTAACTTTAATATTTTAATAGCTGGCATTTTCTCTAACTAGTTTGTGGATTGTCAGAGACAATTTTTCATTAATAAAGCACCACTTGGGTATAACAACTTGAAACCAATTCTTTAGAAACATACCACAAGGTTTCTGATATTCCAGTGAATATTGGCCTTTTCAGAGTTGTCCTTTGGGAGGCTGAACACATAGTCTGCTAAGAGGCTATTGCTTAAAATATTTTGCATTTCTTTGGATTTTTTTTTTTTTTTTTTGACAGAGTTTTGCTCTTGTCACCCAGGCTGGAATGCAATGGTGAGATCTTGGCTCACTGAAACCTCTGCCTCCTGGGCTCAAGCAATTCTCCTGCCTCAGTCTCTCAAGTAGCTGGAACTACAGGCACCCGCCACCACGCCTGGCTAATTTTTTATATTTTTAGTAGAGACGGGGTTTCACCATGTTGGCTAGGCTGGTCTCGAACTCCTGACCTCATGATCCACCTGCCTCGACCTCCCAAAGTGCTGGGATTGGAATTTTTTTCCAAAGATTGGAAAATTAAAATAAAACTTTTGATCACTGTTTGCATTGGACATATGAATTTGATTTTTGAAAGCTTGCAAATTATTCCCAACTAGTCCTGATGATGAGAGGGTCATCTGTTAGAAACTGACAGCAAAGCACTGAGTGTCGTGACACTGGAGCTTTAGTTAATCGAACGAGCCATGGCTCAGCATTTTCTCTGATTTTTTTCAAGTAATGATGAGGCACAGGAGGAGGATGATTATGAAACTGACATTAAAGCATGTCCCCTGCAATGAAATAAGATGTACAGATATTTTAACGTATTAGCTGGCCGGGCGTGATGGCTCATGCCTGTAATCCCAGCACTTTGGGAGGCTGAGGTGGGTGGATCACCTGAGGTCAGCAGGTCAAAACCAGCCTGACCAACACGGTGAAACCCCGTCTCTATTAAAAATACAAAAAATTATCCGGGCGTGGTGGCGGGCGCCTGTAGTCCCAGCTACTCGGGAGGCTGAGGCAGGAGAGGGGCGTGAACCCGGGAGCGGCAGTTGCAGTGAGCGGAGATCGAGCCACTGCACTCCAGCCTGGGTGACAGAGCGAGACTCCGTCTCAAAAACAAAACAAAACATATTAGCTGTGGTTGTTTTTTGTTTTTTTTTTTTTTTTTGGGTGGAGTCTCGCTCCGTCGCCCAGGCTGGAGTGCGGTGGCTCGATCTCTGCTCACTGCAAGCTCCGCCTCCCGGGTTCACACCATTCTCCTGCCTCAGCCTCCCGAGCAGCTGGGACTACAGGCGCCCGCCACCACGCCCGGCTAATTTTTGGTATTTTTAATAGAGACGGGGTTTCACCGTGTTGGTCAGGATGGTCTCGATCTCCTGACCTCGTGATCCGCCCGCCTCCGCCTCCCAAAGCGCTGGGATTACAGGCGTGAGCCACCGCGCCCGGCCCAGCTGTGCTTTTTATGGGCAACAAAAATTGTTTTCAGAATTGAAATTGCCCTTGATATTTTGACATGGGTTTGACGTCTGCAAAGTTATTTCATATTACACTAAAAAATGTCATGGAAAGAGTACGCCCCGTGTACCCACCACGCAACTGAACAGTAACACGGCACGGGGAGCGTGGGAGGCTCCGGCTTGTTTCTCCGCCCCTGTGTTTCCGCCTAACTCGAAGGAGCCACTGCTCCCCAGTAGATATGTCTATGCTCTGATCTAATCCAGCCTGTTCAGGTCCCAGTTTTGCCTCTTCTCTTCTGGGGGGTGGCCCCTTACAATCCAGGAGCTCGGCCACCAGCATTGGGCATAGGCCCCGAGGCACAGCCCGGCCCTGGTGAACACCTGCTTACTTCCTGGGATAAGGACTTTCTGTTCGGAGCTCCCTTCCCTTCTGCCAGCTCAGTCACGCATTGTACTAGATCTTCCTACGTCTTCTCTTTTAATGGTGGTGCACCAGGAGTGGTTTCTGTAAACGTTCAGTTTACCCTATCTTATCTTAGATTTTCAATCACATGCTTTAAGCATAATAACCAGTTCTGAAAAGAAAACCTTGTCATAGCTTTGGCTGCTTCTTACCCAGTGTGCACTTTTTCAGGCCACATGACTTCAATAATTCATGATGAGGGAAACAGTGAGCTTCAGGGCATCACCATTAGCGGAATGTTCTTGTTCTATAACGGGGAAAAACAAGAGATCTTTTAAAGATGCTACAATGTGGTAAGGGGAATGAGAGCAAAGAGAATTTAGGTGCTGCTGAGACCAAATCGCTTTAAAAGTCACATGTTTCTTTCTAGTGCCAATTTCATGACAGCATCGAAGCAAGACAATTATTTGTTTTTCCTGATATAACACATTAGAAAGAGCCTAGGAAGTTTCTAGTGGGAAAAATTCTATGTCAATTTTCACCTCATATTAAAACTTTAGTACCTTTGTACTTATAAATGTATCTCCAGCTCATGAAACTTAGCTGATAGGGAACATTCTTTCTACACTTAAGCTTAGAAAAGTGAGTTGATTTACACAATTCTTTCATTGGGTTTGAAGTTCTGGCAGAAGTATATTAATTACTGCATTTGATTACAGTTCATTTGATAAGCTGGAGGACTGTCAACTAAAGTTTGTAATGATTTAAAATTGTAATTAGCAAAGAAATGATCTAATAAAATATTTACTTCCTTATCAGCAAGTGGAGACCAGGTTAAAGAGAAGAGCATATTATCACAACTATACGGAAGCAAGGGAAACGCATGGTTTTTTTGCATCTATAATTTGGGCTTTCGCATGTGGTTATAATTCCTTATCTAAATAGAAGTTTGATTACTTTTGTGAATTTCTTGTTTAATTTTGAGTGAACTCCTCTATATTCTGAATATTTTTTAAAACAATTTTTCTTACTTCCATACCGAAATGAAGCCTGGTTTTCCCTGGGGAAAATCTGGTCACTCCAAGATATTCCCAGAGAGAATTATCTATTCCCCATTATGCTGGTGAATGTGTTGCTTTTCCCTCCCAAACCTGAGCAGGAGATTAAGCTCTGTATGATACAAATAATAGTATCTTGCCTGGCATCCCACCAACGAGATTGGTTCATTCATTCTCTAATTTTTAAATTATAATTTTATATAATATTTGATATTAAAGAATATATGTAACACATATGGAAACTGATGCATAGTGGCAGAATATAAAGCCACACAGAAACCAACAGTGTTTCCAGTAACTGACATTTCCCCACGCATGCCTCTTAGGTGCCAGAAGTGAATACTATCTCAATTTTTAAATTTTTATCATCTTCTTACCTTAAAAATATAATCTTGTTTGTCTACATTTCTAAACAATATATTGTTCAACTTTTTTGGGCTTGATAATTATAATTTTAAGTGGTCTGAGACTTTCTTTTTACACTCAATATTATATTTCTATGAGTCTTCCATGTCATGTAGAATTAATTTATTTTAAACTGTTGTACAGTAGTCCATTGTCTAAATAGAAAGAAAATCAATGTACCAATTTTCCTACCATTGGATATTTGGGCTGTTTTTAGTTTTTTGCTCTTCTGAACAGTATTGCTATAAACATTCTTTACATGCCTCATGGTACACATGTGTGAGACTTTATCTATGGCATATAGGTAGTCATTGGGTAAATGTTAAATTTTATAAGATGATGCTAAATTGGTTTCCAAAGTGGCTTTCACTTCCACTGGCAGTCTGTAAGAGTTCCCGTTGGTCCCCTTCTCTGCAACATTTTATATTGTCAGATCTGTCTTTCTTTCTTTCTCCTTCGTTCTTTCTTTTCTTTTTCTCCTTCCTTTTTCCCTTCCTTCTTTCTCTTTCTTTCCTTTCCTTCCTTCCTTCTTTTTTCCCTTTCTTTCTTTTTCTCTTTCTTTCTTTCTTCTTTCTTTCTTTCTTTCTTTCTTTCTTTCTTTCTTTCTTTCTTTCTTTCTTTCTTCTTTCTTTCTTTTCTTTCTTTCTTTCTCTCTTTCTTTTTTTGAGATGGAGTTTCGCTCTTGTCCCCCAGGCTGGAGTGCAATGGTGCAATCTTAGCTCACTGCAACCTCCGCCTCTTGAGTTCAAATGATTCTCCTGCCTTGGCCTTCCCAGTAGCTGAGATTACAGGTGCCCGCCACCACACCTGGCTAATTTTTGTATTTTTAGTAGAGACGGGGTTTCACCGTGTTGGCCAGGCTAGTCTCAAACTCCTAACCTCAGGTGATACACCTGCCTCGGCCTCCCAAAGTGCGAGATTACAGGCGTGAGCCACCTCACCCAGCCCAGATTTCTTAACTCTTGCCAGGTTTTGCCTCTTACTGTGGTCCTAATTTACACTCCCATGATTACTGAGGCTGAGGGCACTGCCATATGTATTTCTTCCTCTGTGGAGCACCTGTTTTAATCTTTTACTCATAATTCTAGTGGGTCATTTGTCCTCATCTTCATTTTTAGAATTTCTTCATATATTCTAGATATGAATCATTTGTTCAGTTTTACAAGCATACCTTCATATTGCAGGTTTGGTTCCAGACCACCACAATAAAGCAAATCTCAAAATACGACTGAGAATTTTGGGGTTTCTCAGTGCATAGAAAAGTTATGTTTACACTATACTGTAGTCTATTAGGTGTGAAATAGCATATGTTTCAATGCTGTATATATAAAAATGTGTATAGATATAAAAATATATGTGGTATTTTATATATTATATATTTATACATAAATATATATATTATATATATACACACACATACTGCAATTATTGCTAAAAATGCTAACAATCATTTGAGCCTTCAGCAAGTCATAATTTTTTTGCTGGTGAAGGGTTTCACCTCAATGTTGATGGCTGCTGACCAATCAGGGTGGTGGTTGCTGAAGGCTTGGCCTGTGGTAATTTCTAAAAATAGGACAACAATAAAGTTTGCTGTATCAATTGACTCTTCCTTCATTTATTTATGTATTTATTTGAGACGGAGTCTCACTCTGTCCCCTAGGCAAGAGGGCAGTGGCACAGTCTTGGCTCACTGCAAACTCCGCCTCCTGGGTCCGAGCAATTCTCCTGCCTCAGCCTCCTGAGTAGTTGGGATTACAGGCGCATGCCACCACACTCAGCTAATTTTTTGTAGTCTTTTTTTTTTTTTTTTTTTTTTTTTTTTTTTAGCAGAGATGGGGTTTCACCATGTTGGCCAGGCTGGTCTCGAACTCCTGACCTGAGATGATCCACTCACCTCGGCCTCCCAAAGTGCTGGGATTACAGGCATGAGCCACCGCGCCCGGCCAACTCTTACTTTCATAAAAGATTTCTCTGTAGCATGTGATGCTGTTTGACAGCACTTTAGCCACCATAGAACTTTCAAAATTGGAGTCAATCCTCAGCAACCCTGCTGTTGCCTTATCAACTAAGTTCATTTAATATTCTAAATCCTTTGTTGTCTTTTCAACAATGTTCAGAACATCTTCTCCAGAAGTACATTTCACCTCAAGGAACCATGTTCTTTGTTCCTCCATAAGAAGCAACTCTTCATCCATTCAAGTTTGATCATGAGATTGCAGCAATTCAGTGACGTTTTCAGGCTCCACTTATAATTCTAGTTCTCTTGCTATTTCCATCACATCTGCAGTTCCTTTTTCTACTGAAGTCTTGAACCCTTCAAAGTCATCCATAGTGGCTGGAATCAGCTTCTTCCAAATTCCTGTTAATGTTGATATTCTGACCTCCTCCCATGAATCACAGCTGTTTTTAATGGCATTCAGAACAGTGAATCCTTTCCAGGATTTCAATTCACTTTGCCTGACCGAATCCATTAGAAGAATTACTGTCTGTGGCAGCTATAGCCTTTATAAAATGTGTTTCTGAGATTGTAGGACTTGAAAGTTGAGATTACTACTTGATACATGGACTGCAGAATGGATGTTGTTTTAGCAGGTGTAGAAACAACATTCATATTCTTGTATATCTCCATCAGAACTCTTGGGTGATTAGGTGCCTTATTAATGAGTGTTAATATTTTGAAAGAAATATTTTTTTCTGAGCAGTTACTCTCAAAAGCGGGATTAAAATATTCTGTAAACCATGCTGTAAACAGATATGCTGTCACCTGGCTTTGTTTTTCCATTTATAAAGCACAGACAGAGTAGTTTTAATATAATTTTTAAGCATTCTAGGATTTTCAGAATAGTAAATAATCACTGGCTTCAACTGAAAGTCACTGGATACATTGGCCTCTAACAGGAGAGTCAGCCTGTCTTTTGAAGCTTTGAAGCAGATGTTGACTTCTTCTCTCTAACTGTGAAAGTCCTGGATGACATCTTCTTCCAAAAGAAGCCTGGTTCACCTACACTGAAAATGTGTTGTTTCGCATAGCCACATTCATCAGTGATCTCATCAGTGATCTTAGCTAGATCTTCCGAGTGTGTTGTTTCACATAGCCACATTCATCAGTGATCTTAGCTAGATCTTCCGGATAACCTGCTGCAGCTTCTGCAAAGCGCTTGCTGCCTCATTTGTAATTGTACTTTCTAGAAACGACTTCTTTCCATAAATCTCATGAACCAACCTCTGCTAGCTTCAGTCTAGCTGCAGCTTTTTTTCTGCAGCTCCTCTCAGTCTTCAAAAGATTGAAGAGAGTTAAAGCTGTGTTCTGGATTAGGCTTTGGCCTAAGAGAATGTTGTAGCTGGTTTGTTGTGGTCTGGTCTACCTAGACTACTCACACTTTCTCCATATCAGCAATAGGGTTGTCTTACTTTGTTATCATTTAAATGTTCACTGGAGTAGCATTTTTAATTTCTTCAAGAACTTTTTCTTTGCATTCAGAACTTGGCTAATTTTTTGCCATAAGAGGCCTAGCTTTAGGCTCTCTCATCATTTGACATGCCTTCCTCAATAAGCTTAATTATTTCTAGCTTTTGATTTAAAATGAGAGATGACTCTTCCTTTCACTTGAGCACTTAGAGGCCATTTGTAGGGTTATGAATTGGCCTACTTTCAATATTATTATGTCTCAGAGAATAGGGAGGCCTGAGGAGAGGGCAGGAGATGGGGAAAGCCAGCTGATGGAGCTGTTAGAATACACACAACATTTATCAATTAAGTTCACCTTCTTATATGGGCTCAGTCTGTGGCACCATTGCAATAGTAACAACAACTGTCACTGATCACAGATTACCATAACAGAAATAATAATAATTTAAAAGTTTGAACCACTGTGTGAATTACCAAAATGTGACAGAAGAACACAAGGTGAGCCCATGCTGCTGGAAAAATGGCGCTGGTAGACTTTCTGGATGCAGCATTGCCACAGACCTTCAATTTTTAAAAATAAAAGCAGTATCTGCAAAGCACAATATAGTGAAACACAATAAAAAAAGGTATGCCTGTATGGATTGCAAATAATTTCTCCTAGTTTACCAACATAATTTCCCTTTTAAGGAGTGCCGTTTGATTAATAGAAATGTTTAATTTTAGCATATATTAAGTTTTATATTTATAGTTCTAAAAATTTTAGAGAATTGTTTCATATATTTATGCCTTTGATTTTTGTTTATGGTGTGATGTAGGGATCCAATGTTATTTTTTTCATACTGATAATTAATTGCCCCAGCACCATTTATTAATTAGCCCCCAATTTTCCCACTGGCTGATTTTTAATGCCATCTCCAACAACTATCATAGTTCATCAAATGCAGAAACCTCTTTCAGGCTCTCTTTTCTGTTATTTTTTTTCAACGTTTATATCTCTATATAAATACTACGTTTTCTTAATTTCAGTAGCTTTATATTTATTCTTGATGTCTGATGGGGTATACCCCTCCACTTTCTTCAGTTTCCTCATTAGAAGTATTTTATCTGTTTTTGGTCTTTCATTATGTTATATAAATTTAAGAATTATTTTATCAAATTCCACAGAAGCCCTGTTGAGATTTTGGTTGGAATTCCTTAGCATGTGTGTGTTAAATAAGGATAATATTTAATTTTCTCCTAAATTTTTCATTCATTTTCAACATTTAATAATCATTCACTGAGTGACTATAGTAGGTCCTGCGAATAAGAAAGTGAAGGAACATGACCTTCAAACTCAGTTAAATAGCAGTATAGTAGGAGCAGGGCATCCATACATAACTATAATACAACAATCATAGCAAACTTTTTATTGGATGTATCATGTGTCAGACACATTTTCAAGCAGTTGACATATATTGTCTTATTTAATCCATAAAAACATATAAAGTAGATAGTATTATATTCTATAGATGAGGAAATTGAAGTCCCAAAGTAGAAACAGCCCAAATATTTATTGACGATAAAACGGATAAACAGGTTTTTAAAAAATGTTGACACATCAAAATATTATGCAATGGCTGAAAGTGAATGAAGTATACACAATAACAGGAAAGACTCAGAAATATCATAAATTTGAGTAGTTAACGCATTAGAAGAGGGAACTGGTTATAGTGCAATTTTTAATAAGGATTAAATAAGTTGGAGGAGCCTAGATTCCCTAATTAGCAGGGGTAAGCAAACCATAACCCTTGGTGCAAATCTGATCTGCTGCCTGTTTTTATGAATAAAGTTTTATAGGAATACAGCCATGGCTGTTCATTTATGCATTGTCTGTGGTTGCTTTTGCACTGCAAGAGACAGAGTTGAGTGACAGAGACCATCTGGCCTGCAGAGCCTCAACTGTTTACTGTATGAGTCTTTACAGAAAAAGTTTGCCAATCCCTGAATCTGGCTTGGGTAATTGGGTGAATGAAATTCACTAAGTTTGGAAATCCACAAGATAAGTAGTTTACCTTGGGACAAGATCAATTGGAGGCATCGATGTGAACATTTGACTCTTGATTCTCAGTGAGTGTGTAGGCTTCTCTACTTTGGGCATTTATTATAATATTTGCATAGATTATTTGATGTCAATTCCAATATTGTACTCTAATTTTAATGTCCTTTTTAATTTAAGGCACAAAGGATTTTTAAAATTCTTACTTTTGAGGTTGGCTATATGTTTAAAATGTCAAGAAGAGAAGATTTTAAATGCTGCCAACTCAAATAAATGATAAATGTTTGAGGTGATGGGTATCCTAAATACCAAGATCTGATCACGGCACATTATATGCATATATCAAACTATTACATGTACCCCATAAATATGTATATTATGTATAAATAAAAAAATTAAAATGTGTTTAAATGACCAAATCCAACTGTCTTTAGTTTTGAGTAAGCTGAAGGATCCTTCAGCTGTCTGTCGTAACAATGAGAAATTCTCACACTTCTTCTGTCTATTTCACATATGGATTTTTAAGAAAATACAATGAGATATTCTTTGGAGCATCAAAAATAGTATAATAAAGGCAAGCGTTTCTGGTGCTTTAGCTTGAAACAAGGTCTGCACTTAATGACCTAGCAGAAGGAGAAGTTGGCATGGCTCATATATTATTCCAATATAATGTTACTTCTGTCCACAGTAGCATAGAAAGAGATGGTGTGTAAGTCACGATGAAATTTTCTGCTGGTGGAAGCATAAATTTGTGCAGCCACTTTAGAAGATTGTTTTACGGTACATCCAAAGCTACACATACACATACCCATTGTAGGTAATATCCGAGCAAAAGAAGTGCTTATGTCTACCAAAAGATATGCACCAGAATGTTTACAGCAGCTTTTTCATAGAGCCAGAAACTGGAAGCAGCTCAGACGTCCATCAAAGGAAGACGAATTCATGAACTGCGGTATATTTATATGATGGAATACCACACAATAAGAAGGGACAAGCTACTGACATATGCAACAACATGGATGAATCTCAGAAACAATGTATTGAACAGAAGAAGCCAGATAAAAAAGATACTGTGTGATTCCACTTATATTTCAAGAACAGGCAAAGCAACTCTGTGGCAACAGAGGTCAGAACAGTGTTTATCTGTAGTGTCCAGGTCAGTGGTTACTGGGTAAATACATGGGGAATATTTTTGGATGTTGAAAATGTTCTCTGTCTTGCCTTGGTGATTGCACAGGTGTATACACATGTAAGAGTTCAAACAGTGATGCAGGTCTAGGTGTGTGCATTTTATGTAAGTTACACCTCATTAAACAAAGAAAACATTGAGCAGTTTTCTGAGGTGCCTGGGGTGCATATATTCTATGTGCGTGAGAGAGAGGAGTTTCCATGGACATCAGATGCTAATATAGGAATCTTAAAGTTTATGATCTTTTATGAAAACGGCAGATCCTACAACAGACACCAGGGCCTACTTGAGGGTAAAGGGTGGGAGGAGGGTGAAGATTGAAAAGCTACCTATTGGGTACTATGCCTCTTACCTGGGTGATGAATTAATTAAATCTGAATACCAAACCTCATAACATGCAATTTACCTGTGTAAGAAACCTGCACATGTACCACTGAACCTCAAAGTTAGAAAATGGCAGGTCCTGACTTTTATTCTTGTCCCAAGAAGGTTCCACTTCACTTCCCAATGGAAGTTATAGAGAAAAAGAAAAAAAAACTCAACTTTTTTTTCCTAAAGAGAGTTTTTGATTTGCTCATGTGTTTGAGCAATTATTATTTGAGATCCTGGAATTCCATGCAGAGAAAATGGAAAATCCTAGGGGTAGAGTTAGTTGCCTTAACTGTAGATGAACCTGAGGATCTGTCTCTTGTGCAGCTCTTTTGTAATGGGCCTGCCAAGATGAGCTAG
This sequence comes from Homo sapiens, assembly GCF_000001405.40. NCBI lineage: Eukaryota > Metazoa > Chordata > Mammalia > Primates > Hominidae > Homo > Homo sapiens. Next base: position 745,877 of record NC_000006.12, read on the forward strand.
CTGCAGACATATTTCCATGAAGTTAAAGAGTTAACCTGGCTTAACTCTGTGTTACTTAGTGTCTCCCATTTGAATGTAATTTAGATTTTGGCATAGTTAATATTGAGCTATTCTTTCTTGTGGTAACTTGGCTTTTTAAGGTCATCCTTAGTTCATGATAGTCAAACTACGTCATCAATACAGTTCAGTTCTACTTTTAAATGCATTTTATTATATACTAACTTTGAAATGTATGCTCCACATATGAGTTAGATGGTGATTATTACTTAAGATATTTAACTACTGAATCTATAATATCCAGTCCAGCTGCATATCAATTTTCTAAAATGAACATGTGTTATTTTAATCAAATAATTTATATATATGCATATATATGTGTATATATACATTATACATTCTCTCTCTCTCTCTTTTTCTCTCTGTCTTTCTGTAGTTATCCTTCATGAATTCCACTGGGGATTCTGCTATACAGCTTCATAAGAAACTCTGGGGGTATCATATCTCAAACCAAGCTCCATCTTCTTCCTCCAGTTTAAAAGACCAGCATCTTCATGGAGACAGTGACTGAAACCACAAAGGTGCTCTCCATCACCATCCCCATTCTATCAAGCAAGGAGGCCTGTGTATGCTAACTTTGCAGAATTTCTCCTATCCATGTTGTTTCTTCATCCTTATGTTATTATCCCTCCAATCCATTCTTCTAAAATTATAAGGGTGATCGTTCTAAAACACAAAGCTGATCATATTATACCCTTGTCAAAAGTACCATTGCCTCTTGGATTAAATTCAAATTTCACAGCCTGCCAGGGACTTGATTACCTGACTCCTGCCTACTTAATTTCTTTATTGCTGGTTAAATCTCTTCTTATCCAAAATTTGTGCTTCAGCCATGCCAAGCTTCTTGCAGTAGTCTTCACTCGCCAGGTTAATGTAAGCCATTATACACGTGGTTCTCTTATGTTACTTGCTTCCACCCTCCACCTACACAATGTTCAAGACTGAACACAACTCGTGCTCTGACTGGCTTCAGCCACTCGTTTTTCACCACCCTGTGAACACCAACACTTGTGTTCCTATGCTATTCCCCAACTTGAATGTCCCTATCAATTCTCTTCATCTTTCCAGGCCTATTTTAAAGACCGTGGAGATTCCCAGGCTATTTTAATAGATAGTGGAGATAGTTTAGATTCAGATCTGTTCAGGGACTATAGAATTTGGATCTCCCCTCTTGCCCAGGGCCTTCTTGACAAACTAGAAGAGCCTTTGTGTGGATGAGCGGAAAAGCAGGAGCGAGACCTCTGGTCATGTCTTGTCACGCCATAGTTGTATGGGAGGAAGCCACTAAAGCAAACAGGAAGCTGAGAAATTGGCCAACTGGGGACATTCTTGATAACCACTCTGGATATTTCAGAGGAACGAAAGCCTTCAGAGCTGGGCTTGGATGAAGGGAACTGGCCTGACAACTGTTGCTTTGCTGTGTAGATACAGCTGGTGTTAGACATTTGCATTTGATTATATTTTACTTGCTCTGATGTCTAAATCTATTTTTTGACAGGAATACCTAAAAGAACAAAAGTTCTGCATAGAAGATTCCTTGGGAAACACTCGGGGTTATAGGCAACTTCTTTTTCCCTGTGAATCAAAATCTTGCCGTTAAATTAATGAAGAGTTCTCAGGGTGCAGGAGAGCCAAGTTTCTGTTGTGCTCCATTACACATTGGGAAATGGGAAAGAGAAGAAAGAAATGTGCTGGAACGTGGAGAGCCAGCCACTCTGCTGAGCCTCTTCCTGTGACCTAGTCACAGTCACTTTGTGAGGGTCAGTCATCTAGTGGATAAAATCAAGATATTCCTAAAACTAAGACATTCTGTGTAGAGAAAAAGCCCCTTAGCAAGCAGAACAATATCACCTAGGTATTAATTTCTTACCCGTTTGTGGTGTCTTAGAGGCCAAATAAATTCGTTATATAAAATATTAAGCTTCTCGTAATATTATGACAAATGGCCATTATATTACACGTATTTTAAAAATTATTTTTTTTCTTTTTACTCTCACAATAATTTGAAGTGAACCAAGCAGCCGGCTCATTGTTTGAGAAACAGTTGTTTCATGGGTGAATTGACCTCATCTTCGGCAGCCACCGGTTTGCTAAGCATTTACTTTGAACATTTCTATGGTAAGTGACAGGGTCCTCATGTTTAAGTATATTCTGATGTGAGTCACATCCAGAAAACTTGGGAAAGGGAAAAAGAAAAAAAAAGGAACATGCTGGTCAAGATTTTTGTTTGTTTGTTTCAACGTTCCACATAAGGCTGCTGCCAGATGTTCACATTTCATCTTGCCTGAATAAAAATCTTTCTTATTCAAGAATGTCAATATCATTTAACAGCAAAAGCAATATAATTACACTATTCAATAAACATTTAACAAGACACAGACATTTTCAACTAAAAGAGGACTTACCAGAATGTACCTCTTAGCAATTTACTAGTTAAATTAGTTTTTAAAAATCTATTTTTTTAAACAACATCTGGTGAACAGTCTCTAATTTCTACAGTTTTGGAATGAAAAGGCACTGCACCAGTTCATTGCTACGAACAATTTGCTAGTTGTTTACCTTAATGCCAATCTTACCCCCCTGCCAGACACATATATTTCAAGTGTGTTTTCTGTATTTAAAAAAAAAAAACCCAGCAAATTCAGATTCCTGGGCATGAAGTTAATGCCACTGGGTTCACCAACTGTCACCTATGCTTTAAGATGTCGTGCTTCTCTTGGCACAGTGGAATCAGTCACATTGTAAAGTGAAATGATTTACTGGCTATACCTTTGCTTCAGTTTGCCACAGTATATCCTGATAGGCAAAGTGCTGGGAGAAGGGAGGGAGGAGGTGAGACTGATTATCCACTTGATCTCAGCTGGTAGTTTCAATTTCCTCTTCTTCTCTTTGAGCTGATGCAGTTTGAGATAAATTAATACGAATGATCTGAAAGGGTTAAAAATACCTACTAGCCCATAGCAGAGTCACCAGTCCCACTCGGGCTTGTCAATGTCATGACAGTAGCATACAGGATGGCAGTAAGGAGCACCAACAGCCTGAACACTTACGTGGTTCCGTATTTTAATCTAGTTGCCAAAGCCCCCTCCTTTAATTTTTTTAAAGGTTTTATGGCTGAGTTAATTTACATGCCTGGTTTACCAGGACAATATTGGGCTGCATTTTGCTTTGAAATGTATGACAACAGTCATTGACATATATCAGAGGTCAAAACATAGATCGTTGTTAGAGAAACACCTTGTATTGATCAAATATATTTCCTCTGCGAAACACAAAGTATGCACACGTTCACAGTATGGATCCTTGTACAATTTTCAAGGATAAGGTGCAGCTTCAGTTTATGGATGAGAAAATAAAGACTAAGGACCCAATGCAAGCAGAAACATTGGTCCTTGCTGGGAGGCAGAGCTCCTTAGTGGGAAGAAAGTTGGGCTATCAGAGGACTAAGTTATGGTATAAATGTTGCCATTAGCTATGGCATATTGGATAATTCCTCTATTTTTTCAGTGCTCTTGTTTTGGCATCTGTGAGTTCAGTGCATTTTTGTATCTTCACAACTGTAGATGTGTAGTTGCAGTGGGTATTTAATCATATGACTTCCATAAAACCCTTTGGAAACAAGTTCAGTTGTGTATGCACAGAATGGGAAAAGATCTTTTCTCCCTCTCCTAGGGAGGTGTGTTGTGAGAGGCTGCTTGTCCTGGGAGATGAGGTCCCTAAGGGCACTGCTAGCGAGAAGATGATAGATTGCCACTGTAAGGCTCACTGTGGGGTTTTGTTCTCCTGAGTGGGTTTTGCAAAGTGAGGACAAGAGCTTAATATTTGGATTAGGTCTTATTAGAGAAGAGAAGACAAGGGTTGAGATAGTTGTCAGGGAAGAGAAACTTTGAGAGAACAAAACTGCTTAATGGGGGTTTGGATTCAATTTCCTCTGGGAAGTGCGACTTGGTCTTTTATCTTAAGTGAACCATCCCATTTGTGTCCACGCATTGCCTCGTTGGACTGTTTTGAAGACAGGTAGAAGTGCTGAGTGTGGTTTTCAGAAGACATTGCATTTCAGATAGGGCCGCCCTAGTAGTGACCTTCTAGGTCACTTCCTACAATGTCCCTTCGGCACCTGACCCTATATCTGCCGGTTATTCCTAGGTTATATTAGTAATGCAACAAAGAGTAATATTAAAAGCTAATGATTAATAAGGTTTATACTAATGATTGATAATTGTCCATGATCATCTCTATATCTAATTTGTATTACAACTATTCTTTATTCTAACTATTTTCTTTATTATATTGCTACAGTTTGTGCCTTCAGTCTCTTGCCTCGGCACCTGGGTAATCCTTCGCCCACACTTTTCCTCATTCTTCAACATTTCTTAGCTATTGTTGGTCCTCAATTTTTCCACATTCCATACTGGCAAGTGACGTAGAAGGCAAGAGGTGAGCCTTCAGCTTGAACAAGGCCACTTGAGGCCATATTGGCAAGAGTCATCTTGCCAAAGTCTATAATACCCTATTAGAATTTATGTTGTAATTGCTTTTAATTTATATTTTAAATAAGGGAGAATTGATATTCTTATGATTTTGAGTCTCTTCATCCATGGGTATAGTTCAGCTTTCTAATTACTCAATTATTCTTGCCTTTCAGTAATGTTTGGTAATCAATGACAAAAAAAGCCTTTTAAAACATTTTTTTTTTTGAGACGGAGTTTCATTCTTGTTCCGCAGGCTGGAGTACAATGGCACGATCTCGGCTCACTGCAACCTCCGCCTCCCAGGTTCAAGCGATTCTCCTGCCTCAGCCTCCCGATAGCTGGGATTACAGGTATGCACCACCACACCCAGCTAATTTTGTATTCTTAGTAGAAACGGGGTTTCTCCATGTTGATCAGGCTGGTCTTGAACTCCCGACCTCAGGTGATCCACCTGCCTCGGCCTCCCAAAGTGCTGGGATTACAGGCGTGAGCTACCGCGCCCGGCCTATAACTTTTGCTAGATCAAATCTATGTCAGTTACAGTTTTTGTTGTTATTGGAAATTTTGTATCTATCATTTTTCCTTTCCGTTTAAAAATTTTATTATGGCATACTGCAATGCCAGTTATTTTGCGAGTTGCTTTTTAAAATCCTGCAATCTTGCTGAACTTTCTTATTCATTATAGTTGTCTTTCCATAGATTATCTTGGGTTTTCTATGAGGCAAGGTATCAACTCCTTTTCAATTATCATGCCTATTATTTCTTTTTCTTGCTATATTACATGGTTAAGGCCTTCAGTCCAAGGTGGAATAGGAGTAATGATAGCAGCCATCTTTGCCTTATTTCTGATTTTAATATGAATGCTTGTGCATTTTCATCATTACACATGATGTTGCCCTACTTTAATGACTTCTATCAAAAGAGATATCTTCTATTACTAGCTATAAATCATTCTTTTTATTTATAATTGTAAGTGAATGTTTAATTTTAGTGATGATTTTTCTGCCTCTATTGAGATAAGACAATTTTTCTTTAGTTAATATCATTTACAAATAGATTTTTATTGCTGGCACAAACTCTACTTGACTATAATGAATTCGTTTTGGACAAACACTGCTCAGTTTCATTTATCTAGGATTGTTTTCATCTCCATTCATCAGTAAGGCTGGTGAATATCTTCGAGGGTGGACATTTGGCAGCCCATTCTCAAATATTGTGATTAGGAATTAGAGCTGTATGCTGGTCGTGTCAAAGATGGAATTTGCGTTTGCCCTTCTGTTTCTTCTTATTGCATTTGGGTAATTTCTGTGAACAGCCATTCTACTACTGAAAACCTTATATTTATTTTTCTTTTTAGTGCTATTTGTCTCAGATTTCAATATAAGTATTTCACATAATGATAAAAGTGGTGTGAAACTTTTCTCAATGTTCTGCGAGAGTTGAAATAGAATTAGAAGTATACATTCTTTGAATATTTGAAACGATTTACTGGTGAAATGGTCTGTACCTGGTTCATTTATGAGAAGATTGCATTGTGAGAGCTTTCTCAATTAGCTGAGTTTGCGTATTATCACATTTGCGTTTCCAACTGTTGGCAGAGTGCCTAGCTCAAAGGAGGCACTTGATATGTGTTGTGGTTGGTTGACCAGAAGGTTGTAGCCCACCTTCAATCATAGGAACATCCTCACTCCACTTATTATTGCCTAAATTCCAATTATATAAGTTTGGCCTGGAGTTTTAAAAAGCCATTGTCACCTGTGAAATGGTAACAGTTCATAAAATAGTAACATACTGAGATCTGTTAGTCACTTTCCCATCAATGTGAAGGAATTGCTGAGATGCTTTCCTGATTATTGAAATTAGAATATAAATGGAGTGAGAACAGATAGATTAGGGTGGTAACTGTGAAAGAGGTGGGGGAAGAAGAGAAGAGAGAGAGAAAAAGAGGAGAGAGAGAGACAGAAGAGAAAGAGAAGGAGAAGAAAGAGGAGATGAGAGGAAGAAAACGCAATGTCTATGGGGAAAAATAAGGTTTGCTAATAACTGGAGATCAGCCCAACAATGAAATCATCAAATATCAACTTTGCTTATTTCACAGTTTCACCCAGAATTAACCCTAATGCTATATGGCATGGATTTCTTGATTGGGTGAGACAAATATTTTCTCCAGGCATCTTCCATTTCAGCCAGTTTTGTTTTCTAAATGTCCTGCTGTTTCTGGTTTACAAAATCTCCATCATTCTATGCTTTATGGTGACTAAGCATTTTTTTCCTACTGTCCTATTTCATTAGAGTCAGACTACTTAACTTTCCAGAACATGCTTTTTGTTTGTTTGTTTGTTTGTTTTTAAATGAAGTTTCGCTCTTGTCGCCCAGGCTAGAGTACAGTGGTGCAATCTCAGCTCACTGCAACCTCCACCTCCTGAGTTCAAATGATTCTCCTGCCTCAGCCTCCCGGGTGGCTGGGATTACGGGTGCCCACCACCACGCCCAGCTAAGTTGTGTATTTTTAGTAGAGATGGGGTTTCACCATGTTGTCCAGGCTGGTCTCAAACTCCTGATCTCAGGTGATCCACCTGCCTCGGCCTCCCAAAATGATGGGATTACAGGCATAAGCCACTGTACCCGACCCAGAGCATGATTTTTTAAAGACAGGTTATGATAATTCCCAATGAAATTTTATCCTAAGTTGGAAGATTTTTAAAAGAAATATAACACTGGAATTTTTAAAGATGTGCATCCTACTGAAAAAACAAAGGTATTGTTTTCATTGTATTGAGTTACTATTTCCATCAGATTCTTTTCTAAATAAAATGCTTAAATGTGTTTGATCTCATTAACTTTGGAAGCACAGTACAGTTATTTAAAGGACAGAGAATAGTGGTATTCCCAAGGGGATTACACTGAGAAATCTATCAACAGGGGAGTGAGCACCAGGGTGGAGCACTGTCTGCCCTGGTCTTTTGTGTGATATAAACAATGCAGGAAGTCCTTACCATGATTGACCTCACGAACACACATGGATTTATTGGATTAGCCAGCTTACTGACAGCAGTGGTGGTTCTAAGGAAACAGGATGCAGGAGAGGGTCCTCTTCACTAACAAGACAGTCATTTACAATGAAAATTAGGTGAATACTAATTTGCCTTTTGGTGTCCTTGTTAGAGCATCAGAGGACTGTGTGGGTCACGATGGGAGAAAGTGAGCTGGAGTCAGAGGGAAGCTTCAGTGACTGAGTGACCTAGTGGTCTGGCAAGGCAAGGTTTTGGATGAATCATGTGCTGGGCATCTACTGTTTGGGCCTCCAGGTCCCTGCTCCACCCTTCTCTCTGAAGGGTAACCCACATGCTCCTCATCAGTGTGGCTTTTTATGGAGGCACGGTGAGAAGAGTGGGGTTGGGCTGCTGATTCCTCTGGCTCCATCCAGGGACCTTGGTTTGACTGCGTGTCTCTGTCAAGGCCACAGTTTTCTCTAGGTAGCTCTCATACTGTTGTAACATAATTGGATCCCTCATTATCCCTAACAGATTTCCCCAAACCCCTTCCATGCCATCTGTCTGTCTATCTATCTATCTATCTATCTATTATCTATCATCTATGTCATTTGTCTATATATTATTTAGTTGTCATTTATCTGTCATCAATCTGTCAATAATCTGTCATCTATGTATCTCCATTGTTGTGCAGACCCTTTAAAATAGCTTCTTCACTAAATTCTCTCAATTACTCCATTTAAGTGTAACAGCTATAACATCTGACTGACAGTCATTGGTACCAGAAATGGCCCCAGAAAACAAACCCTCTAAAAAGACTTCTGGCATTGGGTTGCTCCTATAGTGGAGAAGTATACAAATAACTTTGCAGGAGATGAGGCCCTGGTAAGCTGTTCCACACGGTAGCATCAGTTTCTCGAATTGTCCTCAGTGGTGGCATGAGAGGAAGTGCAGGTGGAGGGACTAGGGATGGGATCAAAGGGCAACAGTCCTGGTTGCTTTGACAGCAAAAGTGAGATAAGGATCGTGAGGTCAGCTGGCTGTTTCTGGTGACACTAGACATTGTATACAGAGAAAAGGAGAAATTGGAGATTGTGAGGATTATTATTATTGATTAGTATTATTTGTGTTTTACTCAGAGCACACTTAGACAGTGAGAAAGCCTGGCAGCTTAGTGGGAGCTCCTCACTTCCTGCCATCATGGTAGATGTGGCTGAGCTCTGCCTGATGTATGGGCTGTGGAGCTGCAGCTTCGATGAAGGCACAGCCCCACGGCTCTCACTCTCAGGTAATGGCTGGGTGGGGAGAGGTGGGAGACTGAGACATGTAAAAGGCTAAGAAGTTTAAAACTCCAATTCTCCCTGAACTTGTCTTCAGGCAACTCCTTCTCTAGGTATAAATGCCCTTCAGAGAATACACCTGGGGAATCTGCTCATAAACAGGTGCACATTCCCCTCAGCTGTAAGCCCCTACCACCTCAACTGCCACCAGGCCCATAATAAGATTAGATCCCAACACAGCCCAGATGGAGAGACACAAATCCTGGTTTTGGAGGAGATAGTCTATCTACCAAGAGAATTACAGGATCTTGCCAGTGTACATCTGCTGGAGCCTGGGGAGTATTATGGGATGCCATCTAAGGGTGTTAGACTAGTAAAAATCAAATGGAAGCAGTGATTGGGCTGTATTTATTGAGGTAGGTATAAACACTCAGGATTTGGAATGTAATGTGTTGGCTTGAGTCTACTAGGTTGGCTGAGTGAAGCCTGGACTCAATGGTCACCTGGAGTCAAGGAGGCTCAAATTCTGGAATTTCTCTATCCAATGTTCCAGGAAAAATGGGGAAGTTAGAATGGGCCTATTACATGCAACCTGCTTACCTACCTTCTAATCAGGTCTCTTCTCCTCCTCCTCCTTCTTTACCTCCTTTCTAGTGGGGCCTGGAGGGCTCTTCCTTAACCAAAGTGTGATATAGTACATACTGTCAGTCAGATGTTATAGTCAGCTGGCAAGGAGCCTCCTCTTGAGTGAGTTTTGTTAGCCTGTGTCTTTCAAGGAAACACATTTCCTTGCCTATTCATCTAAAGTGGTGGAGTTTATTAGTACACAGTGGTTCCTAATGTCCCCTAACCATCCTGTCAATGTCTGTAGGATCTATGGAGAGGTCCACTCTCATTCCTCCCGTCAGTAATTTGTGACTCCTCTTTTTCCAGATCAGTCTGGCTAGAGGTTTATTCATTTTGTTCAGCCTCTCAATCAGCTCTTGTTTACATTGATTTTTCTGTCTTGTTTTTGCATTTTCTATTTTATTGACTTATGATTTGTCTATTATTTTTTTCCCTCTGCCTACTTGGGGCTACAGGGAAACATCAGCAGGAGGCGGGAGGCAATGAGAAGAGTGAAGTCCCCCTACCTGGCCACGGCTCCCACTGGGCTCCCTTCTCTGGGCTGCAGTAACTTCTCCTTTCCCTTTCCCCTTCAGGTCAAAGAGCAGTAAGAACCCCCCACCATCATTAGCCCTGAGATACTGCATCACCCCTTGCTGCCATTCCTAAACTCTGCCCACATAGTTAGAAATGCCCCCTTCGTTAAACTCCCTTTACTCAGTCAGTATGGTGTGCTGTTTCCTGCTGGGTCTTGTCTGCAGATACATTCTTATCATTTATTTCTGAATTTTAACACATTCTTCAAATTTTTAAAAAGACTTGTAGGAAAAGTGTGAAAATATTCTTCTGCCACGGATCTGTTGCTAAAGTTAAGCTGTTTTGCTAAAGTCAATTTGAAATTATGGGCCTGGAAAACCTCTGGGTTTATTTTATAAAGAGATCTTATAAAATTGTAGTGTTCATTGGGATTATTCTTTGATCTGTGTTGATAATTTAAGATGTTTACCACTTAATCTCCTAAGTGAAGGCTTTGTGAACACCAGTTTCATTTGCTTTGGCTGCAGATTGCTAATTGATTCTAAGTTAAGCAAGAAACTTACACAGAAGGCAGAATTTGCAATAGTCAGGGAAAATGCCAGTCATCAAAAAATTCTTTGTGCCAATGACTGGACCTGGCCTCAGAAGACAAAAATGGGATTCAAGAGTGGTCCCTGCTCTTAAGGAACTTGTAATGAAGTGGAGGATACATTTGTAAGTAAGTAATAGTACAAATAAGTCTGTGATGAGAAGTATAATAGAAGCAATAAACAAACACTACAGGGGCACAGAACCTTCACAAGTAAAGAGCTCTTGTCATTTGTACTAGCAAAATAATCCCTCCCAATGCCAAAGATTTCTACATCCTAATTCCGAGAACTGGTGAATACATTACTTTACAGGGCAAATAGGAATCAAAGTTGCAGGGAATTAACATTGGCATTAACGTTGCTAATCAGCCGACCTTAAGGTAGGGAGATGGTCTTGAATTATCTGGGTGGGCCCAGTATAATCACAGGGATCCTTTAAAACAGAAGAAGGAGACATAAGAAGAGAGTCAGAAGGAGATGACTCTGGAGGGCTGGTCAGAGAGAGGCAACGTTGCTGCATTTGGAGATGAAGGAAGGGGCCATGGCCTTAGGAATTTAACGACCTCTAAAATCTGGAAAAGATAAGAAAGTGAAGTCTCCCCTAGATCCTCCAGAAACGAAGCAGCTCTGCTGACATCTTAGCTTTATCCCCAGGAGACCCACGTGAGACTTCTCACCTACTGAACCACAGGGAGATACACATTTGTGGTCATAAGCCATTATATCATGCTTGTTACGCAGCAATTGGAAACCGATACACCATATCTGAGAAGGAGAGAGAAAGTCACTGCAGGCAAGTGGACTAGGGAAGGAAAGAGCGGGGGTGATGGAGGCTTCCCTGTGGAGAAACAACAGAGCCAGATGTGGGCCTGGGTCAGATGTGAGCCTTAAGAACCACTCCAGATTTTAGCCTTTACTCTTTAAAACAGGAAAAGAGTGAGTGAAGTTTTTGAGCATATCACAACATTCTTGGTTTTGTCTTTTAAAAAGACGTGGTGTTACCAAGTCGGAGCAGACTTTTGGGAGTAATTGGGAGAGACAGATTCTTCTGTTTAACCTGAGTGATGTCTTCATATTGAGGCTTTTGTGTTCTATGTGACCCTTGGGATAAAGGACCTGTTATTTCTATGTGGAGCCACCAGGCGTAAAGACTCCCACCGCCTTCCATGGTTGCTCACAAGGCCTTGAGCTTGCTGGAGTGTTGGGGCCGTTGTCTGGCCCGTCAGGCCTACTTCATTATGAGTTAATATCAGTTCAACAACTCACTCCAAAGCCAATTCTTTGTTATTTATTTTAAAACCTGCTGTTTTGAATTATCTCTCTCTCTAGTTTCTGTCATTATGTAAATAAGCACAGACTGCATGATTGACTACATTGATTGTGGAAGAATTGGCCATTAAAATAGCAAAATATAAAAGAAAGATGAAACTAAATCCTACCCTCTCCTCCTCCTAGATGTGCAAATTCTAAAACCAGTTCCTTACCCCAAATACTCAAGCTTTGGGGCTCTAGGTTCTGGGATAAGTGAGGTTTGGAAAACGCTGGTTAAAAAAGGTTATTTAACTGGGGATCTCTTATGAGGCAAGTATGCTAACAACCCAAGAAGCTGCTAGGCTTACTTTGCAACAGAACCCTTTTGTTTAGAATGTATTTTGAGACATGTGTTCCTCCAAATGCAATCTGGGACAGGAGGTGAGGAAGAAGAGCGCTCCCCATGGCGCTGGGAGGCCTCGTTTTCAGACCTGTTTATGGCTCCAAGAAGCTCAGTGACACGAGTGAGAGGCTTTGAGTTCTGCATCCTCAGTTTCTAGGCTCGTTGAAACTGATTCGTGACCCTTAATGCTGTGATTCTTTAAAATCCATTAGGAATGACCTTGTTTCACATATTAGTGGATACTCACCAATTATTGACTAATTAGTGATTAGGTTTTTCATCAGATTGTTTTGTAGTCAGTCGTGTTATTGCTGCATATAGTTGCTAAGTAATATTACAGCTATTCTAGAACCTGATGCCTAGAATGTGAATGTGGGGTATCTAAACAGGAGGTTACCTCGGTGGTGGAAACTAGAGTTTGAGATGTCCTCCTATACAGATTCTCATCCTTCTAGCAAACTCAGGATGTCAGAATTGCAGGAAATGTGCGTAAATGACAGTGAGAGGCCACAGTCTTGTGGAGATAAACATACTAGACTCACGTAGTTAGTCGAGGTTTCTGTGTGTAGATCTGCTGATCTTATTAAATCTTGCAACTTGGAATGAAAAATGAATTTTTATTTAATAGTCTCTGGACATCTGTTCTAGAATATGGGTTTTAATACACATTGGATGTTGTGAAGGATCTAATCTCTCCACAAATAAGTAAATTTACAAATAAGTAGAGATAATTGTTTGTGAGAAACATGAGATCGCTAAACCAGAATGTAAGGTTTCATGATGTTTTGAATTATACGTGTGTGCATGTCTGTGTATACCCACATATATTTCTGGATTATATATGTATACATGTAAATATATACAGGCATATTCAGCAAAACATACTTGAAAAAATACATTAAAGCATTAAAGTGTTAGGAAGGGCTATGTCTGAAGTGGAATTAAAAATGATGTTTCTTCTCTTCTTCCTTGCCTTTCTCAAATTATCTAAAGTGAGCACATTGTTTTTGTAACCAGGGGAAATAAAGATTTGTTTAAAAAGCCAAGTTAAAAAAATCAGGCCGGGCACGGTGGCTCACGCCCATAATCCCAGCACTTTGGGAGGCCGAGGCAGGTGGATCATGAGGTCAGGAGATCGAGACCATCCTGGCTAACACGGTGAAACCCCATCTCTCTAAAAATACACGCACACACACAAATTAGCCGGGCGTGGTGGCAGGCGCCTGTAGTTCCAGCTACTCGGGAGGCTGAGGCAGGAGAATTGCTTGAACCCGGGAGGAGGCGGAGCTTGCAGTGAGCCAAGATCGTGCCACTGCACCCCAGCCTGGGTGACAGAGCAAGACTCCGTCTCAAAAAAAAAAAAAAAAAATCAAGCGTACTTTCCTGTATGTATGACACATGGCTTTTGACACATGGACAGTCTACCATTGCATATTGGATAGGAGGGCCTTTCTCTTACTGCTCTTCAATCCACTTACCTATTGAGGCTGTAGAAGCCAGGACAGGTTAGCTGTTTGTGCATGTACTATTCTGTTATTTCCATTGTATTCATCTCTGAACTTTGATAGGAAAAGTAATTCTGCTGCCCTGAAATTCACATAATAATTCCATTTTAGGCCAGTCGAATCTTAAAAATAAGTAAAATAATGATCAATAAAACCTAGACACAAGATTTTGATTCTTGGAGGTCTCATTAGATTGGGAATGTGTGTTGGTTTCATGTGTTAACTTGACTAGATGATAGTACCCCATTATTTTATTAGATGCAAATCTAGGTGTTGCTGTGAAGGCATTTTATAGATGTGGTTAACTTTTAAGATCTCCTGGATGTTGTGGGTGGACCTCACCCAATCAGTTGAAGGCCTTGAGAGCAAAACCTGATGTTTCCCGGAGAAGAATTTCTTCATCAAGCCTGCAGCATCAACTCCTTGCTTGAGGTTACAGCGTGCCAGCCTGTTCTATACATTTTAGATTTGCCAATCCCCACGATAATGTGAGCCAATTCATTCAAATAAATATCTCCTTCTCTCTCTTTCTTTTTGGGAGTAGGTGTATGTATATTAATAAATAATACACAACACGGTATCAGTCCATTTTCACACTGCTATGAAGAAATACTTGAGACTGGGTAATTTATAAAGGAAAGAGATTTAATTGACTCACAGTTCCCTATTGCTGAGGAGGCCTCAGGACATTTACCATCATGGCAGAAGGGGAAGCAGGCACCTTCTTCACAATGCAGCAGGAGAGAGAGCATGTGAAGGAGGAACTGTCAAACACTTATAGAATCATCAGCTCTTGTGAGAACTCACTCATTATCACGAGAACAGCATGGAGAAAACTGTGCCCATGATCTAATCACCTCCCTCCCTCCACATGTGGGGATTACAGGTCCCTCCCTGGACAAGTGGGGGTTATATTTTGAGATGAGATTTGAGTGGGGACACAGAGCCAAATAATATCAAACACACAACATATATAACATATAGCATATATAATATTTAGTAAGATTTTTACGTATATATTATATACATGTGCGTGGGTATCTATGTACACTCTTGATTGATTCTGTTTTTCTGAGAACCCTGACTAACACACATTTTGATACTGGGAAGTTGGGTTCTACTGTAGCGAATTTCTAAAAATGCAGAAGTGGCATTGGAATTGGGTAATGGGAAGTGACTGGAAGAAACTTGAGGTACATGCTTTTAAAAGCCTAGAAGACACTTGGTAGAAGTATGGATATTAAAGGCAATGTTGGGGATAAGAAATTACCTGTTGGGGGCCGGGCGCGGCGGCTCACGCCTGTCGTCCCAGCACTTTGGGAGGCCGAGGCGGGCGGATCACGAGGTCAGGAGATCGAGACCATCCTGGCTAACACGGTGAAACCCCGTCTCTACTAAAAATACAAAAAATGAGCCGGGCGTGGTGGGGGGCGCCTGTGGTCCCAGCTGCTGGGGAGGCTGAGGCCGGAGAATCGCTTGAACCCGGGGGGCGGAGCAGGTTGCAGTAACGCATCTGCAAAGCAGGAAGCATCAAGCAATGCTGGCAACACCACGAGAAGCGGCGAGGGAGAATTCTTCCCTAGGCTGCAGGGGGCAGGCGGCCCTTTCGGCGCGGTGACTTTGGACTTCCAGCTTCCAGAAGCCTGAGAGAATGTGCCTGTGGTCGGAGGCCACCCGGGCCGTGCTAGCGTGTTAGGGCAGCTCCGAGAAACCCGCCCAGCGTGGCCGTGCATTTCCCTTAAGCCCAGGCCTCGGCTGACAGATGCGAAGCGGTAAGAAGAGAAGGAAAGGCCAGCTCTCTGTGTCTCTGGCCGGGATGGGTACCCCCCACGCGGGGAAGGAGAGCTGCTCCTTCTGCCTTTTCTGCTGATGACAAGTGAAATGACGAGAGTGAGGAAAGCCGATGGCCGCGGCCGGCCACACGCTGCAGGACTCGGGAGCTGGTGCACGGAGCTCGGAAAGGTGATGGCACTGCCCGGAGGGGCAGCTCTCTGGATTTTGAGAAAGGCACGTCTTCCCCAGTCTAGTTTCAGACCCAGAGGAAAGCCCGGTTCTTGGCTGGCATTTAAGCTCCTGATTTTTCTCACGTTGCTTTCTCACTGTAATTGTCTTGATCAAGCTTTCACCCTGTGAGATCCACACACAGGAGGAGAGGGATGCAGCTCTCAGCCGTTCACAGAGCCCGGCCCTACCGCACTGCTCAGTGTGCCTACTCTTGGCAAGATGCAACTTCCCGTTCCGAGAAAAAGGACTTAGAAAGGATCGTAAAATGGGCTCCCAAGTCTCCTGGAATAGCAAATAGCTTTTAAAAGACAACCCTTTAATGGCCTATGAGTAACCAAGTCAAAAACAAAAGTATTGAATATCCCTTTAAATGTATGTGAGTTTAAAAAGCAAGATGGGAATACATTTGGCAAAGTTTCTTCTGGATTTTATAGAATTCAAAATACTCGAGAAATTTTTACCTATACGCCCACACACAACTGCAAAACTGTTATAAACGACGTGGGGAGATAACAAAAACGATACTGTGCAAATGCAAACAGTATGCAGCTTCTGCACTGCTGTGCCTGATGGAAACATTTCTCTCTTTTATGAGCTTCTCTTTGCGGATGGAGACGGAAGAAAGATGGGCGTATGAGGCAGGGAGGGGAGAAAGGGGGAAGAGACGCCTATTCCGGGGCTCCATGGCTGTTCTCGATACTCACTCGTGTTGCTCTTTAAATGGAACCATTTGCTGCACATTTTGAATCGTTAACATTTGGTAGAATAGGGGACAATGGATTTTCATGTAAACTATGAATTTTATGACAATGAATTAGCATGTTCATTGAACAGAAAGTAAACAAAGCTTAGTACAAAATTGGTTCAGTATATAACCTAACTCTTCTGCTGCTTAATGAAGTGATGGGATGAAACCAAAACAAATAGCTTTATGCTTTGTAAAGCACAGGGAAACATACTTTCGTGTGTAATTACTGCGTGGTTATGACAAGGCTGGTACCTGCCTGAACCATCAGTTACAAAGTTTGCAGCAACCACTCCTGCTTTAGCAGACTGGGTGTTGAACTAACAAATTACAACACTGGCATTAGAACAGAGAGGAAAATATACATGCAAATATAGTCAGTTCTGACGAACCTCCAACATCTGTTAAGCACCTACTGTGTGTGTACCAGGCACTGGGGATATGGCACAATGAGATGGGGGCATTTGCATTGTCCAGAACTCTAGGGAGGGTAGGGAGGATGAGGTATGATTGTCTTAGTTGTTCTGTGATGATTAATTTCGTGTCATCTTGACCAGACCAGGTTAGTTCAGATATTTGGCTAACCTTTATCCTGGGTGTTTCTGTGAGGGTGTTTTGGATGAGATGGGCATTTAAACTGGTAGACTGTGTAAAACGGATGGCCCTCCCTTAAGTGGGTGAGCACCATCCAATCTGAGGAGGCCCTGAACAGAACAAAAACGCAGAGGAGGGGGAATTTGTTCTCTCTCCCTGACTTCTTGAGCTGGGACATGGTTCTTTTCCTGCCGTCTTTTTATGCCATCGGCTCTCCTGGTTCTCAGGCCTTCGGACTCAAACTGAACCCACACCACTGGCTCTGTTGGGCCTCCAGCTTTGCAGCTGCCGTGGCTTCTACAATTATGTGAGACAATTTCTTATCATCTCCCCACACGTCTCCCACCTGGGTTCTGATTCTCTGGAGAACCCTAATTAATACAGATTTCCAAGAAGGAGACACTGAGGCAAGAATCTGAGGACTACTAGTTGAATAAGAATGACCCAGGAAGCATGGGTAGGAAGGAGAGTGACAGAAGTGAGACAGGGAAAGGAAGGAAGCCAGCCAAGGCTCACTGGCACTGGGGGCAACGGGCCATACTGGGAAATGGTATGGAACGGAAGCTGGTGTTAGTCTGCCTGAGGGTGAGGGAGATGGGCTAGTCATCTTCCAGCTCTCTCCCCCTTCATTGCCTGAGAGCTGCTTCTGGGAGCGTTAACTCCTTAGCCCTTCTGGCCTCTGCTGTGCAGATCATGAGAAGCCTTCAGAGGGAGCACAGCAGGTTCTTGTAGATGGATGCTCTCCACAGGTCCTGGAAGCTGAGGACCGAGGGCATAAGGGTGAGCATTGAACGGCATCCACTATCATGACTGAGGGAATGGAGACTGGGCTGACAACAAGGGCAAAAGGAGTTCAGGGGAGGAAGAGTATTATGGGATATAGTAAGAAGGGAGAAGTTTATGGAGGAGTTGGGGCATTGACTCAGCCTCTCTAAGAGGGGAAGAGGCACGGTGAGGCAGTGTTGTGGAGTGTGTAGTTTTGGAGGCTGTGGAGAGCCTGAGCTGGTGATGAAAGCTGGATCATTGAGTACCATCTGCTCTGGAATGGCTGCAGTGCAAGCGGATGTTTGCCCTAGTGTGCCACATGGACAGGACATTTTGAGCAGAGACACATGAAGTATTTTGGTATGGCAGAGCCTCTCCCTTGCTCCCCAGCATCCATTCTTTTTTTTTTTTTAATTAAAAAAAAATTTTTTTTTGAGTCGGAGTCTTGCTCTGTTGCCCAGGCTGGAGTGCAGTGGCACGAGCTTGGCTCACTGCAACCTCCGCCTCTTGGGTTCAAGCGATTGTCCTGCCTCAGTCTCCTGAATAGCTGGGATTACAGGTGCCTGCCACCACGCCTGGCTAATTGTTGTATTTTTAGTAGAGATGGGGTTTCACCATAATGGCCAGGCTGGTCTCGAACTGCTGACCTCAGGCGATCCACACGCCTCAGCCTGCCAAAGTTCTGGGATTACAGGAGTGAGCTACCAAGCCCGGCCCCCAGCATCCATTCTTTCAGCTTCCATAGCAATAGAATTTTCATCTGGGCACATAGCTGAACAAAATGCAGACTTTATTCCCGGCCTCTCTTGTAGCAAGGTGTGGCCATGTGACTAAGTTCACTGGAAGTAACTGTGAACAGAAATGATGTGAGCACATCTATGCTTTGCCCTTAAAGAAATAGGACGGGCTGTCCAGGTCCCCACCCTTCCTTCTGGTGGCTCAGATGTGCGGATGGTGCAGAGGGCTGTGAATGAAGCAGCATTTTGAAGGGGGCAGAAAATCAACGCAGAAGGAACCTGAGTCCCTTGACACTTTATGGAGTAGAAGCGCAGACTGTTGTCAACATAACTAAACCCATATTCTAACTAACAGATTAGGGAAACTAACCTGGCTGTGATATTCAGGGTAAGCTTGGAGCCGGAAGGACACAGGACTCATGTGGATGATTCTGTCGTTGGCATTCTCCCTTACATTGAGCTCGTTCACGGTTCTGAGGCTTAGCTCTCAGACGGTTCTTTCAGACCTCAATTCTGGTATTTACAAACTGGCATATGGTGACTCAGTGGGGATGCTGTTGATGGAGGGTATAGGGTGGAGGTGGCTTCGGCGAGGGGAAGACACTGAGATACTTCCTGGGAAGATTCTGAAGGAGGAATAGGGTGTGACCCTGAGCAAGCACATCAGAGGTTTGTGTGCTTACATTTCAATGAATGTTTGAACATCTGGTTATGGAGGGACATCTGGTTGGGAAAATGAATTGTGTTGGGGTGCCCTAGTAGAGTGGCAGTAGCAATCCAATATAGCTGATATTCTGCAAGTAAATTGTCATATTGTATTGACCATGTACAATCTAACCAGATAAAGTAGTCTATATTTGTGGTGTGTACCCAATCGGGGATTGAAATTGAATACGTATTTACTCTGAGTAACGTGGCGATGCTTATGCTACTGTGAGTTTACAACTTAGGACTGGGGGTACCTGCTGTGCTTGGGACTCACTTCTTGAACAGAGGCAACCAAAGGGTGTTATCTCTCTGGTTCCTAAGGTTGGTTCCAGGCCAGCAAACAACAGGGGGTGCCCCAAAAGGTGCCCCCAGAAACCTAGGCTCCCCTATCAGGGTGCATCGTGTGGGCAGCCCCCTCTTGTGCACACTTCTCTCGAATGTTCAGAGAAAGGGCGTTCGTGCTGAGAATTTGGCTACATTTCATCCCAGCTTCCCAGGGACTGTGATGCTTGGCGTGTGCCTGGACCAGGGTAGGCACTCAGTAAGTGTGTGTGTGGAATAAACGCACAAGTAATTGACTTGGAGCTCGCCGTCAACACCTAAGGCATAGATTCTTGGCCATCCCAGAACTTTAGTAACCGTGTGCTTATTAAAAACCAGGTTCCCCCAGGAGGAAGTCGGTCCCTAATTTTGTTCGAGGTTTTATTTTTTAGCTTGAGCATTAAAAGATGGTCTGTGCTCTGTCCCTGGCCCTAGTCAGCCCCTCTCTGTAGATCAGTATGGACATTCATATCTTTAGCTAATATTGGGCAGTGGTTTTGCAACCCATATGTAATTCATTAGTATGTAAAATGCTATCTGAGCCAAAATAATATACAAGCTGTCTGAAAAGTCTGGAAACAGAGGATAAACTTATTTCAAAGGGTTTATTAGTTAACATTCAATAATATACTGATTCTATTTTTCCTCAACCTCCAGACACCTTTGTAGGTAAAGTAAGTCTAAACTTAAAGCAATAGGTTCACTCTTTAGTCAGAAAAAGTGCAATGAATATATGGTATTTCCCTTGTTTCCAGAATATTTGGACACTGTAATGTTCTTATTGTAATTTTGTTTTGGATTAATGATAGGATTATTGCTGTAAATTTAGTGATACTTCACCTGGAAAGCTATCTGGCTGTTCAAGAAAAATATATTGAATATGTATTTTTTTGATGATGTAAATAACATAATATTTAAAAGTAAGATTTTCATGTGTTGAAAAGTTTTTGTACATCTTGAAATTGATAAGCGCCTTGGAAAGTTTATTTTAAATTCTTTGTTCTGGATTAGTTAAAAGAGAACAAGTGCTTTAAAATTTGCTTTCAAGTGCCTACTTACAATATGTTCTGAAATAAAATATAAAGATTGAGGTTTTGGCTTAATCCAAACTTTACTCGGCAAAAAATATTTTAAAAGGAGAAAATAATAAATTTGAAGTATGAAATAGGGAAAAGTGCATAATGTTCTCCATCAGAAATCTGTCTTTGCAATATCCCAAGAATCCAGCAAGTTCCACATGTTCCGTAACCACTTTAGAGGGGAACTTAATGGGCTGGATTTGCAGCAAGTTAAATGAGACTTTTTTTTTTTTTTAACGATGTAGTTTTCACAGGCTGATGCCCTTCACTGTTTGAGCGAAACCATCTTGGTTGAACACGTGGGTACATTTCACCATCAGCCTTGTGTCAAATAACCCTGAATTTGAAAATGAAAGCACCCTTCAGATCTTTGCTTTGGGGTGGTGTCATAAACAAATCTGAGTTTTGTTCTCACGGCTTACCATGATCTCTTCCAAACCTTTGATGTATTTATGTCCAAGTTCAAGGATTATATGAGCAGCTCTGAACATTTCATTTTTTGTTCCTTTACAGACGGGGTGAGGCTGAGTCCCTGCCTCTAGTTACCGTGCTGTATGCATAGCCATGATGGTTGAGAGCTAGAATCTTCCTCTGGGAGCCCTTTAGATAAAAGCTGTTGACTTCGCATGTGCAAACCTATCATAGGTACACAGAGATAGTGAGAATATACTGAGAGGGTGCACAGTTATTAACACGAAAGTCACATTTCTGAAAAGTATCAAGGTTGGCAAATCTGAGGTCTCAGCAAAAAGTGGAGATCAGAGAAAACTAATAGAAATGACAATAATCCACTAAAAAAGAAAGCCTGGGAGAAATTTGCTTCCCAAACAAATTAGGTTTGTTAATGGAAAAGTCTGCTGGCCCAGTTGATCCTCTCCCGAACCACTCTCTTTCCATTTTCGAAACACTGTTTTCTCCCAAGGCTGACTCGCTTACCAGTTTTAGTCATGCAGCCAGCACCTCTTTAAACGTTTTGAGGCAAGCCTTACTGGCTTGAAATGTAATATGTTTTATACTTGCATTTTTCTCTAGTTTTGTCTACATAAACCCCAGGGGGAAAAATGCTTATATGTTTCTGTGACCTTTTAATTAATTATTGCTGGGCTTAGAAACACATTTTTCTCTGCGCTTAGTTTTCCTACCTGATGTGTGGGAATTCTGGGGTTGAATTGCTTCTCTTTGTTTGCGTTATCATAGACACCTGCCAACATGTGTGTGTGTTGGAGGGTGGGCTATGACAACAATGGGATTTTCCTATTTTAAGGGACTGATCTGTGTAAACCAAGAAGTGTCTTTCTTCAAATATGAAGCCTGATTATCTCAAAGTAATTGCTTGTGAGGATTACTTTAACTCTTCACACTGCTATAGAGCTTTATAATTCACAAACCAGTGTCATATACAGTGTAGCATTTCACGTGACTGACCGTAATTCCTTCTTTGTGACGGCATGCCCATTCTGACTGCTAATATCCCCCCTTTCTCCCTTCTTTTCTTCCTTCCCCCTTTCCTCCTTCCCTTTTTACTTTTCTTTCCTTCTTTTCTTCCTTCCTTCCATTTTTTGCCTGCCTGTCTTCCTTCCCTCCCTCCTTCCCTCTCTCCTTCCTTCCTCCTTCCTTTCCTCTTTCCTTCTTTCTGTACTTTCCTCCTTTCTTCCCTCCTTTTCTCCTTCCTTCCTGCCTCCCTTTTTCCTTCTTTCCCTCATACCTTCCCTTTTTTTCTTTCCTTCCCTACTGTCCTCCTTTCTTCTTTCTTTCCCTCCCTCCCTGTATTCTTCCTTCTCTTCCTTTCTCCCTCCCTCTCCGTCTTCCCCCACCTTCTTTCTTTATAACACAAATATACTTTTATTACAAATGCAACTATTTGTAATATAAAGTACAGTTTTAAAGTACAGTTTATGAGAACTGTATTTTAAAGTACAGTGTTTGAGAACTGGTACATTAATTCAGCAAACTTTCAGGATACACAATATATACAAATCAATAGCTCTGCTGTATACCAATAGCAACGAAGCTAATAATCAAATCAAGAACTCAACCCCTTTTACTATAGCTGCAAAAAACATAAAATGCTTAGGAATATACCTAACCAAGGAGTTGGAAAACTTTTACAAGGAAAACTACAAAACACTGCTGAAAGGAATCGTAGATGACACAAGCAAATGGAAACACATCCCACGCTCATGGATGGGTAGAATCAATATTGTGAAAATGACCCTACTGCCAAAAGAAATCTACAAATTCAAGGTAATTCCCATCAAAATACCACCATCATTCTTCACAGAACTAGAAAAAGCAATCTTAAAATTCATATGGAACCAAAAAAGAACCCGCATAGCCAAAGCAAGACTAAGCAAAAACAACAAATCTGGAGGCATTACATTACCTGACTTCAAACTATACTACAAGGCCATAGTCACCCAAACAGCATGGCACTGGTATAAAAATAGGCACATAGACCAATGGAACTGGAACAGAATAGAGAACCCAGAAATAAAGGCAAATACTTACAGCCAACTCATCTTTGACAAAGCAAACAAAAACATAAAGTGGAGAATGGACACCCTATTCAACAAACAATACTGGGACAATCAGCAAGCCACATGTAGCAGTGAAACTGGATCCTTATCACTCATCTTGTACAAAAATCAACTCAAGATGGATCAAAGACTTAAATCTAAGACCTGAAACAATAAAAATTCTAGAAGATAACATCAGTAAAACCCTTCTAGACATTGGCTTAGGCAAAGACTTCGTGACCAAGAACCCAAAAGCAAATGCAATAAAAACAAAAGATGAATAGATGAAACTTAATTAAACTAAAAAGCTTCTGCACAGCAAAAGAAATAATCAGCAGAGTTAACAGACAACTCACAGGATGGGAGAAAATCTTCATAATCTATATGTCCGACAAAGGACTAACATCCACAATCTACTAAGAACTCAAGCAAATCAGCAAGGAAAAACCAAACAATCCCATCAAAACGTGGGCTAAAGACATGAGTAGACAATTCTCAAAAGAAGATATACAAATGGCCAACAAGCATATGGAAGAATGCTCAACATCACTAATTATCAGGGAAATGCAAATCAAAACCGCAATGCAGTATCACCTTACTCCTGCAAGAATGGCCAGAATAAAAATTTTTTAAAATAGGTGTTGGCGTGGATGTGGTGAAAAGGGAACACTTTTACGTTGTTGGTGGGAATGTAAACTAGTACAGCCACTGTGGAAAACAGTGTGGAGATTCCTTAAAGAACTAAAAGTAGGTCTATAGTTTTATCCAGCAACCCCACTACTGGGTATCTACCCAGAGGGAAAGAAGTCATTATACAAAAAAGATACTTGCACATGCATGTTTATAGCAGCAAAATTTGCAATTGCAAAAATGTGGAATCCGCCCAAATGGCTGTCAATCAATGAGTGAATAAAGAAAATGTGATATATATATATACACACACACACACATACATATATATACATATATATACACATACATATATACATACATATATATAATATATACACATACATATATACACACATATACATACATATATACGTATATATGCATATATATACATATATACGTATATATACATATATATATATAGAAAGGAAAGGAAATATACCATATTTACATCCATATACCATGGAATACTACTCCTCCATATAAAGGAACAAAATAATGGCATTCACGGCAACCTGGATGGAATGGGAGACTATTATTCTAAGTGAACTAACTCAGGAATAGTAAACCAAACATTGTATGTTCTTACTGATAAGTAGGAGCTAAGCTATGAGGATGCAAAGGCATAGGAATTATACAATGGACTTTGGGGCTTGGGGAGAAAGGGTGGGAGAGGGGTGAGGAATAAAAGACTACACCTTGGGTACAGGGTACACTGCTTGGGTGATTGGTCCACCAAAATCTTAGAAATCACCTCTGAAGAACTTATTCATGTAACCAAACACCATCTGCTCCGTAAAAACCTATTGAAATAAAAAATAAATAAAAATAATAATAAAAAAGTGGTCGCCTACAGCTTTGGCTTCCCCACATTTTGCTTTGTTAAGAAGAGCTCTTCAAACAAGCATAATTTCCTGATCCTCTGATCAGGCAAGGTGATAAAATAAAATGAGTATCAGATTGAGTTGGGAATGCTGGGACTTAGTCTTGAGTCTGCTGCTTCCTGTAATCATCTCTGAGCTTTAGTTTTCTCATTTTAAGATTAGCCTCAAATGAACGGCCTTTATTTGCTTCAGAGCATTATTGTGAAGATTCAGTTAACACCAGTTATAAAATACCACCGCTATCACTCTCTATCCCCCTCACATAACCTGTTAATTCTTATAGTTATTATTGTACCTGACCTTTTACTGGGTTATTCCGATCCTGAGGTACAATGGATGCTCCATGAACACAGAGACTATGTACATTTTGTTAACTTCTTTATTTCAAAAGCACATGGCAGTGC
The DNA here is from genome assembly GCF_000001405.40 of Homo sapiens. Classification (NCBI taxonomy): domain Eukaryota; kingdom Metazoa; phylum Chordata; class Mammalia; order Primates; family Hominidae; genus Homo; species Homo sapiens. Next base: position 771,000 of record NC_000006.12, read on the forward strand.
CTGACACAGAGTATGCACTAAATATAATTTAGTTAATGAAGAATGAAAATCTTTCTTTTTTCTCCTTCCTCCCTCCCTCCCTCCTTCCTTCCTTTCTCTCTGTCTCTGTCTCTCTCTCTCTCTCTCTCTCTGTCTCTCTCTGTCTCTCTCTCTCTCTCTCTCTCTCTCACTCACTTACCTTTCTTGGGAGACTTGTTACAGATTGAGAGTTAGGCCCAAAATGCTGGAATCAAGGAAGCCTTCTCATATTTGATTGATGATCTTTGTTTGTTTCTTTCCCATTGTACCTCAGTTATTCCATATTATCTTAAGACAAGATCAGTTGCATTCTCCTAAAATTTTCATTCAAGCTACTTGCTGTAACTATTGCTTTAAATATGTATCTCAGTGTCATGCATTCCTTGGTTATGTACATTTGCTAATATTGATGCCTTATAGAGGAGTGTTTTCCTTATCAGTAGAGAAATGTGTAGAAATTTTTGCTTGAACCTAAGAGAGTCTAAATTTTACAACACAAGTCATAAATAAAGCTACATCTTAGTATTACTATTTTTTAAATTTTATTTTAAGTCGTAGGGTACATATGAAGGATGTACAGGTTTGTTACATAGGTAAATGGTGTGCCATGGTGGTTTTCTGCACCTATCAACCCATCACTTAGGTATTAAGCCCCATGTGCATTACCTCTTTATCCTGATGCTCTTCTTCCCTAACATCCATGACAGGCCCCAGTGTGCATTGTTCCCCTCCCTGTGTCCATGTGTTCTCATTGTTCATCTCCCACTTATAAGTGAGAACATGCTGTGTTTGGTTTTCTGTTCCTGTGTTAGTTTTCTGAGGATAATGACTTCTGGCTCCATCCATGTCCCTGCAAAGGACATTATCTCATTCCTTTTTATGGCTGCATAGTATTCCATGGTGTATATGTACCACATTTTCTTTATCCAGTCTTTTATTAATGGGCATTTGGGTTGATTCTCTGTCTTTGCTACTGTGAATAGTGCTGCAGTGAACATATGCATGCATGTATTTTTATAATGGAATGATTTATAGTCCTTTGGGTATATACCCAGTAATGGATTGCTGGGTCAAATGGTATTTCTGGTTCTAGGTCTTTGAGGAATTGCCACACTGTGTTCCACAATGGTTGAACTAATTTACATTCCCACCAACAGTATAGAAAGTGTTCCTATTTCTCCACAGCCTCACCAGCATCTGTTGTTTCTTGACTTTTTAATAATCACCATTCTGACTGGCATGAGATGGTATCTTATTGTGGCTTTGATTTGCATTTCTCTAATGACAATGGTGTTGAGCTTTTTTTCATATGTCTGTTGGCTACATAAATGTCTTCTCTTGAGAAGTGTCTGTTCATGTCCTTTGCCCACTTTTTAATGGAGTTGTTTGTTTTTTTCTTCTAAATTTGTTTAAGTTCCTTGTAGATTCTGGATATTAGCCCTTTGTCAGGTGGATAGATTGCAAAAATTTTCTCCCATTCTGTAGGTTGTCTATTCAGTCTGATAGTTTCCTTTCCTGTGCAGAAGCTCTTTAGTTTAATTAGATCCCATTTGTCAATTTTTGCTTTTGTTGCAATTGCTTTTGACATTTTCTTCATGAAATCTTTGCCCGTGCCTATGCACTGAATGGTATTGCCTAGATTTTCTTCTAGGGTTTTTATAGTTTTGGGTTTTACATTTAAGTCTTTAATCCATCTTGAGTTAACTTTTGTATAAGGTATAAGGAAGGGGTCCATATTCAATTTTCTGTATATGACTAGCCAGTTCTCCCAGCACCATTTATTAAATAAGGAATCCTTTACCCATTGCTTGTTTTTGTCAGGTTTGTTGAAGATCAGATGGTTGTAGATGTACAGTCTTATTTCTGAGTTTTCTATTCTGTTCCATTAGTCTATGTGTCTGTTTTTGTACTAGTACCATGCTCTTTTGGTTACTGTAGCCTTATAGTATAGTTTGAAGTTGGATAACATGATGCCTCCAGCTTTGTTCTTCTTGCTTAGGATTGTCTTGGCTATATGGGCTCTTTGTTGGCTCCATATGAATTTTAAAATAGTTTTTTCTAATTCTGTGAAGAACGTCATTGGTAGTTTAATGGGAATAGCATGAATCTATACATTACTTTGAGCAGTATGACCATTTTCACAATAATGATTCTTCCTATCCATGAGCATGAGATGTTTTTCCATTTGTTTGTGTCCTGATTTCCTTGAGCAATAGTTTGTAGTCTCCTTGAAGAGGTCCTACACTTCCCTTGTTAGTTGTATTCCTGTGTATTTTGTTCTCTTTGTAGCAATTGTGAATGGGAGTTCATTTATGATTTGGCTCTCTGCTTGTATGTTGTTGATGTATAGGAATGCTTGTGACTTTTGCACACTGATTTTGTATCCTGAGACTTTGCTGAAGTTGGTTATTAGCTTAAGAAGCTTTTGAGGCTGGTCACAGTGGCTCACACCTATAATCCTAGCACTTTGGGAGGCTGGGGCAAGCAGATTGCCTGAGCTCAGGAGTTCGAGACCAGCCTGGGCAACACAATGAAACCATGTCTCTACTGAATTACAAAAAATTATCTGGGCGCGGCAGCATGTGCCTGTAGCCCCAGCTACTCGGGAGGCTGAGGCAGGAGAATTGCTTGAACCCAGGAGGTGGAGGTCGCAGTGAGCCAAGATCGCACTGCTGCACTCCAGCCTTGGCGACAAAGTGAGGCTCCATCTCAAAAAAAAAAAAAAAAAAAAAAAGAAGAAGAAGCTTTTGGGCTGACATGATGAGGTTTTCTAGATATAGGATCATGTCATCTGCAAACAGAGACAATTTGACTTCCTCTCTTCCTATTTGAATACCCTTTATTTCTTTCTCTTATCTGATTGCCCTGGCCAAAACTTCCAATACTGTGTTGAATAGGAGTGGTGAGAGAGGGCATCCTTGTCTTGTGCCGATTTTCAAGGGGAATGCTTCCAGCTTGTGCCCATTCAATAAGATATTGGCTGTGGGTTTGTCATAAATGGCTGTTATTATTTGAGGTATGTTCCTTCAATACCTAGTTTATTGACAGAAAGCTACATCTTAAATAGAATCTTTATAAAAGTACAACTGATGTCCTCTGTTGCCTAAGAAATGATTTAGGATGCTCTGAAATGTACCAACTCTCATAGAAGACAATAGTGCATGTGATAAGGCTGGTAAGAGTCCTAAGGACCATGGCCACTAGGTTCACAAGCCCCTGGAGGAAGACCAGGTCATTTCTGTTGGTGAGGAAGAGGAAAACCACACTGAGAAGGTAGGATTCAAGCTGGGCCTTCAAAGTTGAGCATGGGTATTATGTTTTTAATAGATGAAGGGTGAGAGAATACATTGAAGGCAAGTAACGCTTGTTAGTTCAGCCAGTAATTAGGTCAAAGAATAGAACAACAGGGAGGGGAAAATGAGTCTCACAGGAAAGCCTGACAAGTCAAGAAATGTGGGAGGGAGTCTGGGGACAGCATGGTTAATGGCCTCTTCTGACACAAGTGCACGAAGCTAGCAGAAAGGGTCCTGGGGAAACTGAGGCACATCCTAATTACCTGCCTTGATAGGGACTCCATGCTTCTATGAATGAAGACTGAGCCCACCTGCATTTTTCCTTTTTCGTGCTCTTACAACTCATCTTCAAGCCTGTTTTCTCAAAACCCACTCCCAAGCTAGATGTTATCTCTGCCAAAATTATGAAATTATTTGTGGGAATCTAAAATCAGAATTTCACATTTTAAAAAACTTTTATTTCTAATGAATTGTTTGTATTTGTTTTTGTCTCTTCCTTTGGGCCTTGAAATCATCTTGAACATGGATTCTGTTGCCTGGCAGATGAGCTGTCCCCAACAGCTGGGACTCAGGGGACTTTCCTCCAGGTTAACAGCAGTGGACTTCTCAGCACCCTTTAGGTCGCTGTTGTTTAATCAACTATCAACGTCTCCTTACACTTTAATTCCTCCCTCCTTTGTCAAGTCAAACACTTTGAGGAAATCACACTGCCTGTGTCCTTCTGATCTACAGGTCTCATGGCCCCATCAAAAATTCAATGAACTTGTTTGGTTGGATGCCTCCTTTATTACTTTTAAAATACAACAAAGCTGTCAATAAATTATTCCATCATCGCTTTTCAAGGTATCCATATTAAATGTAGCAGTCTAGAACGCTAAATTCATTGCCTTGACCTTTCTTATATAAAATACGGACATTTGTGTGTCTCCAGTGTTCAGGCATCCCTCTTTCTTTAGTGGAATTCCTCAGATATTACGAAAAGTGGTGATTATATGAAATTTGTCAATTAAAGGTACCAGGTAAAGGATTTTCAGGTGTCCAAGCACACGAATGAGGTTGTGGGCACCTTGCGGTGCGTCTGAGGTTTTGGCTCTCCGTGCCCACATTCCTGCAGTGCGTCTGAGGTTTTGGATCCCCGTGCCCACATTCCTGGGAGCGGCACTCAGTGGCAGCAGTAAGATCCAGGCCACCTCGCGGTCGGTTCCCAGGATGCCCCTCTGCCTGCTCCTGGGGAGATCACGGGAAACGAAGGGCGATTGAAGGCGTCACACCCTGGTAGGAATTTTCCAATATAAATCCAGTAACTGTTTCCATGATGGCCTAAAAAAGAAGAGTCTGGAATCAATTTGTCACTTTTTCTGTGCCTCCCCAACTCTGACTTATTTTTTTGATGGGTCGTTTTTCATTATGTATTGATGGAGGATTTGCCTTTGTAGGGCAGTGCCGCACTAGGCCAGTGTACCCTGAGGCAAATGTGCACCTACAGAGAGATCAGTCCCTGCATTGCAGGTGTACAAATTATGAAATCGGGCCCCTCCCATGCTAACAAGGGTCTCATCCTGTAAGCAGTAGACTATATTTATGATATGTATAGCTTTACCTGCGTGGCGATTGTGTTTTGTAATTAGTATCGCTCCAAGTTTTAGCTAAATTTTTGAGGAACTGGGGACCTTACAGCATTATCTCATTACTAGGAAAAGCCCAAGGAATTTATACAAACACACCTACATGGCAACCTCACTATACCCAAATAATGACATCATTTCTATTTTTTTCTCTGTCTGATTAAATGCCTCTTCTCTTTTGTCCAACTCTTCTGCACACACTTTAAGGGGCTTTCCCTGGTGTGTGTCCTCTTTTGTTTAGCCACCCGGAAATTGAAATGCTTCAGGCCCTTTTCATTCTTACATAAAACCTTGGCTGCTTTTTCTCCCCAATATTTGGAAAAGTCGAGGTATCATGTGAGCTGCCAAGCGCACCGGGGTGGGAATTGGAAAGGATCCAAGGCCCTGTTATTTCTTCCCACTCCTTCCCAGCTCACTGTGAACTTCTTGCACCAACTCCTAATATTTGTAGAAGTTCTCTGAGATGTTTTCCCTTTGCACCCTGTCCCTTATACACTCAAAGAGTCGAATTCCAAAATTAATCACCAACATGGATTCAGATTAGCAAACAGCTACCATAGACCGACCTCAGGGAAGCCTTTGGAAATACCACTTCCCTGGTTGGGCACTGGACATAGACACAGCTGTGCAGACCTTGGTCTCACACTGATTGGCTGTTAGGCGAAGGGCTGAGACCTACCTTCCTGTTTTGATTTACTGGGAACAGGTCAAAGGGCCCCTGAAAAGTACACAACACTTCCCGTTTAAAATAGATCTTGGAAGACATTGAAAGAAGAAGGAAGAATGTGGGAATGCAATGGGACAGCTTTCTTTGATCCTAAACCCAGTCAGAATCTTAATTAGCTGTACATGGAAGACCACAAAAAGCACCCTCCCTGAGAGCAGGCCTCTCCCAGTGAAATGCAAGTTCCAGGAAATGACTGAGTTGTCCCATGTGCAGCCAAGTCCATCATGAGGTGCAGGGAGATTCTGAATGAGGAGCCTCGTCTCTATGTATTCTGAGTGAGTGAAATCGCTGGTAATTCAGAACGTGTCTGCAACAGAGAGGATTTTTAGTTGTGAATGATATACCATGTACTATATATACACATAATCGAATGGGAAAGACTGGCCTCCCCGCCTTCCCTTCTTGCTCTCCCCGTTTCCCACCCAAGAGGTCCAGATAGGATCACTGATGAGGATGGTGTAGATGAGGAGGGCACTCAGGAAAGAATCCAGGGACCTTCCAGCCTTGGCGGTTGAGCCAAGATAAAGGACTAGCAAAGAAGCATTGAGCAGCAGCTGCAAAGGGAGGGGAAACACGGAGAAAAGGAGTACAACCCAAGCCAGGCCATGAAAGCGTCTCCAATGGTCATTGCTGTCTAAACTATCGAGAAGTTGTGTGAGATGAAGATAGAAAATTAACCGCTGTGTTTGACCAGAGGCAGGTCCTTGCTGAATTTAACAAGAGTAATTTCTGTAATGCATTGGAAAGCTCCATTTGACAGACATTACATAAAAAGCTCAGTTATTCAAGAAACACGCATGCTCTTTTTTTGCAATGGTGAGAAATTTAGAAAAAATAAATCTGATGTGGCCTTCGAGTGCACGCCAGATCATGGGACAGGATCTCTGGCTGCCGTACCTGCCTCCCGCCCCCGTGGGACTTGGACAGAGCATGACCAAATGCCAGGGCAAACCCTGAGGCACCTAGGAGAGGAGACCACACAGAGTAAGGTAACCTGGGGCAGGAGAGTACGTCCAGGGGGTGCGATCCTGTCCCAGGCACGAAGCCAGGCTGTGTGGAGGGATGGGAGAGGGGACTTCCCCTGGGACGCTGCGTGATAACTCCCTGGTGTGATTTGTCCTAATTCTTTCATTCCATCTTTCATTCAGAGAGCATTTTGAAGCCCCCATTATTGATTACTGTTACAGATTCTGGGGATAAGGGGATAAATAAACCCACCAAAGCCCTTGCCTTAATCATATTCAGGTCCAGCTCTCTGTGTCTATCCATGTCGTGATGCAAATGAAGACACAGGAAGATGAAGGGGAACACAGACTCACCTGGGCACTGGAGTGGTGGTTTTCCACCTGGGATGTGCATTAGAATCACTTGGGTACTCAGCCCACGCTCTGACTGATCAAATCATTTTGTATCGGAGGTGAGACCCAGACATCAGCAATAATCCTCCCAGGTGATTTCAATGTGCAGCCAAATTTGGGGACGGCATTAGAGCTGGGTTCTAGAAGTGTGCTCCTAACCAGAGCATCAGCGTCATCCAGGAACTGTTGGAAATGCAGTTCCACCCCAGACCACCCCAGACCCGCTGAATTAGGACCTCTGAGGGTGAGGTCAGGCAGTCTGTCTTACCAAGCCCTCCAGGTGACCTAATGTGCATGGAAGTTTGAGAATCCCTGCCTTAGGGAAGCCAACTTTCTAAAAGCCAGGAGGACAGGCTGGGCACGGAGGTGTCTGTGACACCTCAGTATTTATGACACTGGGTAGAGTATCGATGGCAGCCCTGTGCTGTGAAGAGCAAAAGAGAAATGTTTCTGCCCTCAAGGGATTTATAGTCCAGGTTTGGAAATAATAACATGCAGGACCACTAGAAAGCAAGAAGCAGCGCAGAATGATGTGTGAATGGTGTGATTCTCTGGTGACAGAGGAGACGCTACAGAGACGATTTTTAAAACTTCACTGCAGCTTTTAAACTATTCAATGATAAGAATGTAATATTCCACAGTCACACTTTCTTTCCCGCAAAGTTTTGCAGACTTGCATTATTTTCTAGCATTGCCTGCTGTAAAAACCTGAGCCTAAAAGGAATTTTCCCCTTTGTAGGTGTCTTCCTTTTTCTTCTGGGATATTGGAAGAAAATGTTCATGATCTTCACAGTTTGAGTGAAGTGCAACAGTCTAACCGGGATGTGTCTCAGTGACTGGCCTCTATTTTCTTTTCTGGATAAAGGGATGCTGTTTTCATTTGCAGATACAATACTTCAGTCATTTCAGACTAATTTTTGTATTGTATCACATCTCTGATTAAAAAATAGAACTCAAAAATTCTTACGAGGGCTGGTCCTAGCCTTTTGTAACTATTAAAAGTTACTGGAGGTGTGGCCGGGTGCGGTGGCTGAGGCCTGTAATCTCAGCACTTTGGGAGGCCAAGATGGGTGGATCACAGGGTCAGGAGATCGAGACCATCCTGACTAACGTGGTGAAACCCCGTTTCTACTAAAAATACAAAAAAATTAGCCGGGAGTGGTGGCGGGCGCCTGTAGTCCCAGCTACTCGGGAGGCTGAGGCAGGAGAATGGTGTGAACCCGGGAGGTGGAGCTTATAGTGAGTGGAGATCGTGCCACTGCACTCCAGCCTGGGCAACAGAGCGAGACTCTGTCTCATAAAAAAATAAATAAATAAAAAGTTACTGGAGGTGTATAGAGTGGGAAATTACCACAGGCTGAAATTGGTTTCTTAGCTATGACGCCAAAAACACAAGCCGCCAAAGAAAAAATAGGTAAATTGGACTTGATCCAAATTGTAAAATTTTGTGTTTCAAAGTACACTGTCAAGAAAGTGAAAAGACAGCCCGTAGAATGACAGGAATATTTGTAAATCGTATGTCTAATAAGGGTCTAATTCAGGATATATCCCTCTTGCAATTCAACAATAAAAACATGACCCAATTTAAAAATGGGCAAAGAATTTGAATAGAAATTTCTTCTAAGAAGGTATACCAAAGGCCAGCAGGTACATACAAAGATGCTCAACCTCATTAGCCATCTGGGAAATGCAATCATAACTACAGTAAGATAGAATTTCACACCCACTAGGATGGTTATTATAAAAAAGATGGACAAACACGTGTCGGTGAGGACGTGGAGAAATCGGAGCCCTCACAGACTGCTCATGGGAATGGGAAATGGTGCAGCCACTTTGGCAAACAGTCTGGCAGTTCTTCAAAGTTAAACACAGAATTACCATGTGACCTGGCAAATTCTACTCCTAGGTCCATACCCAGGAAAATTGAAACATACGTCCCTACAAAAATATGTGCAAGAGTGATCACAGCAGCAATACTCACAGTAGTCAAAAAGTGGAGACAATCCAGATGTCCACGAACTGATGAAAAGATAAAGTGTGGCATATCCATATCCACATAATGGAGTGTTATCAGCTGTAAGGAGGAATGAAGTTCTGATAGATGCTACAACATGCGCCAGCCTTGAAAACATTAGGCTATGTGAAAGAAGCCAGATGCAGAGGCCACATGTGTCATTCCACACATATGAAGTTTCCACGGTAGACAGTTCTATGGACACAGCACATGGATTCCTGGTTGCCTAGGGCTGGGGGTGGGGCGACTGGGGGGAAGTGAGGAGTGACTGCTATGGGTAGAGGGCGTTTCTGGGAGGTGAGAAAGGTCTCTGAAAATTGCTTGTGATGGTGGTTGCACAACTTTGAGAATATGGTAAAATTCATTGAATTATATACACTAAACGGGTGAACTTTATCATCGAATTGTATACACTAAATGGGTGAACTTTCTCATTGAATTATATACACTAAATGGGTGAACTTTCTCATTGAATTATATACACTAAATGGGTGAACTTTCTCATTGAATTATATACACTAATGGGTGAACTTTCTCATTGAATTATATACACTAAATGGGTGAACTTTATGGCATATGGATTGTATCTCAATAAAGCTGTTGAAAACTTTAAAGGAGACTTCTGGTTTACTTGTTTCCAGTCAGTTCCATGTGCCATTAACTACATCCAAAGGCTGTTTCAAGAAAATTCCTCAAGTTGTTTAATTTCTCTACTTTCTTGTCCCATTGCCCCTAGCTTCCCCGGTCTGTCTGTCTGTCTGTCTGTCTGTTGTCTGTCTCTCCTTCTTGCTCTGGCTCTGGCCAGCACTCTGTTTCATCGCTGGCCTGCTGGCAATCACTGTGAAAGCCACATACCTCCCATCTGTTCTTTGCCCTTAGTGATTTTACCAAAGTGAAAGGTTTTATGTGCTTTTGCTCACAAAGCCGCTTTTAGTCCCATCTGTTAAACCTTGGAATCTAGAAACAGTTCATGTTTCCAGTACTTTAAGACTTGGAAGTTTTGGACTTTCTCTGTTCATTTTTATGGCTGCTTGTTTCACACTGAATGACTCTTTCCTGAGACCACTTCTTCCTTGAAATACCTTGAGCAGTGCAGCCAACACATCCAAGTAACATCCAGTGGCACCCAGTTCTCCTATGTCCTGCCCTAGAGCTACGAGGACAGGTGGCACTTGGCCTGCCTTCCGTGTATTATAAGCAGTAGCTTTCCCAAACCTCTTCCTGCAGAGTATGGTAGAAGTTTGCCTTTCCTGCCTCCTCTAACAGATTCCTTGCCATGGGCTACTCAAAGCCACATATTTTAGATCGAGGTTAGGGCAGCTCCCCTCTTTTACGTCTCATTTCTGCATTAATCAGGGCAATTACTGCAGCTGGTACATAAACCCTGAGATCTCAGCAGCTTAACACAACAAAGCTTTCTCCCTCACCCCAAATCCTGCCTGGGCTGCCCAGGGCTCACATTCCGGCAGTGACTCGGGGATTCTGACTCTACTTTCATGTTATCAGAGCTGTGGCCTCCCAGGTCCCTCGGGTGGGGGGAAGCGAGGACTGCAGATGGAACTTATCTTGATTGCCTCAGCCTGGAAGGGTCACGCACCATTTATGTCACCATTGGCCAGAACGTGTCTTGTGACTCCAGTGAGCACTCGGTGTCTGCCACAGGTGAGCTGGAGCACACCGGGCCGAGAGCTTTCAGCAGAACACGAGGTACCTGTGGGGAGGAGAAGATGGAAATAGAGGCTTCTTGTTTAACCATAAGGATAGAGGAGGGTTGGACAGATCTGAGGAAGGAGAATGGAGGTGTCTCCATGACTCAGCACTCCCTGTGCCCTGCAGCCTTGTGTGAGGAGTGAGTGCCGAAATGATTAGCATAGTGGAGGCGCAGCTGGTCCTGAGTGGACACTGGTCAGGTCAGCTCCACATCCCCCTTTGCCTCTTGTCACAATATGCAATATTTGGGCAGTTTTAATTACAAGTTCCAAATGAGGAGCTGTAAAGAAGCAACTTAGCTAGAGGGAATGAGAAGAAACATGTTGCAAATCTTTTCCCATTGGAAGGACATCATTCTGAGGGTGTCAGAAGTTTGAGATGGGGATGGGATGAGCATGAGATCCTTCACGCTGTTTTGACCTAACAGTGGAAAGGACTGGGAGCAGAACGGAGCTGCCAGGTGTTTGCAGAGGAGAGAAGGCAGGGAGGTTGCTGCAGGGAAAGTGATAAAATGCTTTTTTTTTTCAGTCTTTTTTAAAGCCACATTTCCTGACCGCTTCCTTATGTCATTAGCTATGCACTGCTTTTCAGGATGGTCTTGGATCATGTCCATCCTATGACTACACTACGTTGACTTAGTCAAACTCCGATGGTCACACACTCTCATTGGTACCAGCTATTTTTGTTTTTAAAGTGAGTTTTATTTGTCTTTAGAACACTTTTATTTGAGGGAAAGAAAGGCAAAAATTGCACAACCAATTCCTTTACCCTACAGCTAGTCTTCACATTTATCATTCTGTCCTATTTACTTCATAATTATATATTACGGCATTTTTGAAAGAAAAGGTCATAGTACAGATGGTTTCCAACTTACGATGGTTCGACTTAATTCTTCAACTTTATGATGGTGCAGAAGTGATACGCATTCAGTAGAAACCAGCACTCCAAGTTTTGAATTTTGATCTTTTCCTGGGAAGCCATGTGCAGTGTGATGTGCCCTCTGCGTGTGGGCAGGGCCACCAGCACCAGCTCCCAGGCAGCTGCACCATCAGAAGGGCAGACAACCCATACGCTACGGTGTGCCCTGTTGCCAGCGTTTTCTGGATATTTTGTGTGTTCGCGTCCCATCATGTCTGCAAAATGATATTTTCAACTTACAATGGGTTGATTGGGACATAAGCCATTGTAATTTCTGTGCTAGGTAACCCCAGTAGCAACATCAATCTACTAATCCACCAATCAGTCACTTAACACGGCAGGTCCTCAAATGATGCCACTCTGTTCAATGTCATTTTTTTTTTTTTGAGATGAAGTCTCACTGTGTCGCCAAGGCTGGAGTGCAATGGTTCCCTGCAACCTCTGCCCCCTGAGTTCAAGTGATTCTCCTGCCTCAGCCTCCTGAGTAGCTGGGACTACAGGCACGCACCACCACGCCCCGCTAATTTTTTGTATTTTTAGTAGAGAAGCGGTTTCATCATGTTGGCCAGGCTGGTCTCAAACTCCTGACTTCAGGTGGTCCACCTGCCTTGGCCTCCCAAAGTGCTGGGATTACAGGTGTGAGCCACCACGCCCGGGCTGTTCGGTATCATTTCATCACAGTGTTGGCGAGGAGAAAGCTGCTTCCCGTCAAGGGCCACCGTGTGTGTGGGGCTTGCACTTTCTCCCCATGACTCTGTGGGTTTTCTCCGGTGCTCTGGTTTTCTCCCACATCTCAAAGATGTGCCTGTTCACGAATGGGTGTGTCTACAGGGCGTCCTGGGAGTGAGCGTGGGTGTGAGAATGAGGGGCCCTGCCGTTGCCCGAGGGCTGCTTCCTGCCTTGCGCCCGGAGCTGCTGCCAGGATGGGCTCCGATCACCTGTGACCCTGAACTGGAATAAGCGGGTTGGGAAACGAATGCATAAAAACAAATTATTGTAAAATAACAATTTGTAAAGTCTACTATCACCCTACAAATGCATGGCAATGACCCAAGTGGCTGGAGAGGGCTCAGGGAGCCCACCCTGTTTGTTTTTAACTTTGTGGGAGTAGAAGGTGGTCCTCACAGTTTTTGCTTTGATTTCACCCCCCACCACAATGACTACTGTCACTCCCTGATTCACCAGGAATTGGATAAATAATGATCTTACTTGTTTTAATTAATCTTTCTTAAATGTATGTACGGCTCATTTATTTCAGTGTTGAATATTAGAAATGTTTTGGGTCTATATTTAGAAGACTGGTGATGTTTTTGTGACCAGAAATATGTTGTTAGGAACTTAAGTCTTGTCTGTATCGACTGGCCTATGGTAAAGTTGGTTTCTGTATTTGTTGTTCCACTTAAAGTCACAGTTTCCAAGCACCTCTTGCTGACGTTAAGTGAGAACTTACCATACAGAGCCAGTTCCCATGCTGTGTTCAAGGTTCTGGGGATACAAAAAGAAAATAAAGCCAGGCCCCTGTTCTCGGGAAGTTCACTGTCTATGCAGAGGCCTCTCTACTGACTCACAGGGCACCGACAGCAAGTACGCAGAGACCTGAAAGCAATGCAAGTTCATGGAAGGCTGAAAGAATTACAGAAGCAGTTCCGAAACCATAGAAATCATCCTCTCCGACTCCCTTTTAATTCATGAATCCTCTCTACGTCATTTCTTGTGAGTGATCCTGTGGTATTGGTTAAAATATCTCCAGTGGTGAAGATAATAACTGAATAGTGCAGCACACACTCAGCTAACAAGGGGTTCGCTCTCACACTCTCCTCATGGTCTCTGCATAGCCCTGTAAGCCACACTTGGCTAATGCCATAAGATATTCTTGGGTGGAGTTTGAATGCAAAAGGCTATAGCCTCTGGGGATGGGGGGGTACCCCAAGGTGTCACCCAACAACCCCTTGCTCCAGCTGCCTGAAGCTTCTGGATTCTCCCTGTCATTTCCCAGACTTGACTTTTAACCAGAAGACAGTGGGCACTAGAGGAAGGCACAGGCCAGGTCTCTCCTGGAGAATGCTATGGGGGTTTCTAAATGCACGATGTCATCATTTTCTGGAGTGGATAGAACCTGCTGTGCTAAGCTCGCCCCATCCCACCCTCCAGCCAGGTGGCGTGCGCATCTCCAGTTCACACAGACAGGTCTTACTGCAGGTAAGACCACCCTCATCCTGGGCCTCTCCACTTCCCTTAGCAACAGGAGTTAACATGGAGTCAGACATATTCAGGTGTTTCAGGGCTTAAGGTGGAGTCCTGACAACCTGGATGCTGTAGCTAAAACCTCCCCTCACTACTTCCGGAACAAAAAGGTGGCCGGGCTCTGAGTACCATCCCTCTGTTGACAGCTTCCCATGGCCCAAGTCCTATCCTGATGCTTGCCAGAGACCCCTAGGCTCTGCATCCTGGCTCACCTCCATCTCCACAAGAAGCCCAGGGCTTCAGGGTCACCACCCCCATTCCCACGTGGCTTTCCCCTTCTCTGTTCTGCTTCCGAAAGCACAGGTGGATCTGCCGCAGCACGGAGGAAGCTTAGGCTACGGGCCCCTCGTGTTCACGTGTGCCTGCCAAGGCCAGGCCTTTTCTCTTCCAGGGCACAAAAAAGGAAGCAGCTGTGTGGGTGCTGGAGGCTGCTGAGCCTCTCAACAGCATGAAGTCTGCGCTCCACCATGACAGTTCATCCTTCGCACACCCTCAGCTCCCCTCCCCTGCTCTTGTCATCAAAATCACTTGGCTTAGGCCAACTCCAGCCTAATGTGTACCATCTAGCTGAAGATAGCTGGAGGACACTCAGCTAGTGGACCGGTCTTGCTTAGATGTATGACTGCTGCTCTCCAGCGGACCCCAGACAGCCTCATCCACCCCACTCCCTTAGCTCCACCCAAACTTTGCTCCAAGGTCACCTTGTCAGCGAGGCCTTTCTTGATGGCCTTCCTGAAAATGCAGACCTCCCATCCTGGACGTTCTCACCTTCTTACCGCCTTGCCTTTTTTCCCTGTGTTCAACATTTACATCCTTTTTTCTTGTACTTATTCATTTTATTTCCCCCACTGAAATGTAGGCCATAGTTTGTTTAATAGTTTGCTCAGTGCCTGGAAAGGTGCCTGCTACGTATTAGGTGCTCAAACAAAGGATTTTGGAGAAAATGGATGAATGACAGAATTGTGCTAAAATAAAGAGACCACCAGAGATGAAATGGTAAGCAAAGGCCCTGCAGTGCACCCTCCCGTTCAGACAGACAGAGGGACAAGAGTTGGCCTCGGATGCAGGCAGGGAGCCACTGGGCCACCTGAGTGGCAGATGACTGCAGGAGCCCCAGGACTTCAGGGAGGCAGGGTGTCCTCTAGACACGGGAGGGAGGTGCTGAAGCCGTGTTGGGGAGGCGGGTGGGGTGTCATGTAGACATGGGAAGGGAGGTGCTGAAGCCGTGTTGGGGAGGCGGGTGGGGTGTCCTCTAGACACGGGGAGGGAGGTGCTGAAGCCGTGTTGGGGAGGCGGGTGGGGTGTCATCTAGACATGGGGAGGGAGGTGCTGAAGCCGTGTTAGGCCACAAGGGCAGCGATGTATTGCGAATGACATTTCAGCCTCTCTGACTATTGAGATTCTTCTCTCTCTTGCTTTCCTACATCTACTACATCTGATAGAACAAAAGATGCATTATTTTTCCCAGAAAGAACTATAACAGAGAATGACTCTGCATCCGGGGCCTGTGTGATGGGTGGAATGTTAACAATGGAAGGCTGGTTGGGCGCAGTGGCTCATGCCTGTAATCCCAGCACTTTGGGAGGCCGAGGCGGGCGGATCACGAGGTCAGGAGATCGAGACCATCCTGACTAACACGGTGAAACCCCGTCTCTACTAAAAATACAAAAAATTATCCGGGCATGGTGGCGGGCGCCTGTGGTCCCAGCTGCTCGGGAGGCTGAGGCAGGAGAATGGCGTGAACCCGGGAGACGGAGGTTGCAGTGAGCCGAGATCGCGCCACAGCACTCCCACCTGGGCGACAGAGCGAGACTCCGTCTCAAAAAAAAAAAAAAAAAAAAGAATGGAAGGCAGTAAAGAATGGACTGACTTAAAGGCAGATGGAATTTCACATCCTCCCACTGTTGGTTGCTACTTAACGGCACACATAACTCGCATCAGAATAGGTTTTTGAATGATTTCCTTTGTTAATGCTAAGCAACACTTTATGCACGGTGTGATGAGGAAGACACTTAACAAGGTCAAGGAAATGCTGGTAGAAAAGACCACACATCGGGTACAGTGTACATTGCTTGAGTGACGAGTGCACCAAAATCTCGGAAATTACCGCTAAAGAACTTATCCATGTAACAACAAACCACCCTTTTCCCAAGAACTATTGAAACAATCATAATAATAGTAAGGCAGGTCCCCAGGTCTACCATTGGCAAGAGCGGATTATGGGCGCAGCCATACTGCTGCCTTCTAGCGGTGGAGTGAAGTATCACACACAATTTAACAAAGATGGGGCCTCACATTTGTTGTGGCTTTTTGTTTATTTTTTTTTTTTTTGAAAAAGAGCAGAGCACATGTTGATAGGTAGAACATTTTATTTTAAAGTTTATTGTTAACATAACCTGTGGCTCAAAATCAGTGGAGATATTGGTATTATATTAGGCAGATGCCCCCTGTTAATGGATTCGGTAAAGGAAATCAGCAACCGGGCTGCTGAGTGGAATTGTGTCCCCGCCCACCTGAATACATAATAAAGATTCTAGAAATCAAAAAGAGAAGCAAAGTGCTGGGAGCTATAATCAAACAAGACAAAGAATCTTCGTGGCCACAACCACAACATTCTACACATGTGAATATGAGATAAGAGAAACCTGGAGAATTTAGTAACTGTTGAAATGAAAACGTACTGGAAACAATTGGTAGCAATTTACAGATGGAGCCACCCTTTTGTTGCTACAGATTAGTAAGGAGAATTGAGCTATACTGAGCACAAAATATACCAGGTACATAGTAAGCTAAAATTATCAACTTTAACAACAAAAATATATGATGCTAGGACCTGCATTTTGGCCTTTCACAGATAGTAAACATGGCCAAAGTTCTTTTGCTACTTACTTACATCCTAAAAGCAAGAAAATAAAAAAAGTGAACTCCGAGAGACCCCAGTCTGTGCAGTTAAAAACTGCGGGGCATGAGGACGCACGCTGCAGAGGTGTGTTAGTGTGTTGTTCTGATTTATTGAAAGACCATCATTTCTAATTATGAGAAGAAATATTGTACCAGAAAAGAACCTCAAATGAAACGTATGCTCATGCTCATGTGAAATGGGGGGAGGATGAGGATGGAGTGAAATATTTAACAGGTAAAGAGAGGCCCAGGCAACCTGTTGTGTTTTCTAAGACCTCAGCTCTGGTAGTCTGTGCCAAGTGTGTGGCGGATACACGGTAATTCAGGACAAGCTGAAGCCAGTTGTAGGCATCAGATGTGATTCTCTAAATGCGATTTAAGGGACTCAGGAAGGAGTGAACAGGTGGGTGCGAGCCTGGGCTTGTGGGGTGCCCCCCACAGGAAAAAGGAAGTGGCCGTCTTTGTCAGGCATGTGGGTGAGCGGTTACGACGTCATGGAATGCTGAAGATCTAGAGGTAGTGGTGAAATCCCTTCAACATGTGGAATTAGCAATGTCCCCAGCTCTATGGAGAAAGATTTATTGTGAGAAGGTAGTGATGGCTAAGGATACAATCAGGAGAAGCCCATGATGATGAAAGGGAGTCATCTGGAGTCTCACAGCAAGAGTGGATTTCCAGGAGGGTGGGTCCCCTGCTTTTGAAGAGGACTGTTTTCCATTCTTTTGGCATAAAGATAGAAATTTTTATAACTTTAAAAAACACACTTATTCTGCATATTATATATGTAGCTGTGATCGTAATTGAAATACCAGTTTCTGTTGGAATACAGGATTTTTTATTCTCTTTCCCCATTTGTATTAATTTTAGGGTTGCATTTGCTTTCAATCATGCAGAAGCATGACATTATACTTCCTTCAAAACTGTTTTTTTTTTTTTGCTGTTTTTTGTAAATATATATATATTTTTGCTTTACATATACTGAATCCTGTCCAGGAATTTGTTCATTCACAATTTTATTTTGGTGCTCATTTGTAAAAGTTTTACTGCTATATTTGCCTTTCATGTTTCACACTCAAAGAGTCAAAGTTATTTTATAATATGGCTTTTTAGTTCCCAGTATTTGCTAGATATGATGGTGTTATTTGCTCTCGCAGTGTCAGTGCCTAGCATTAGACCTAATTTTCCAGCAAACGTGCTCTATTTTGTTACTCGGTACATGCCAATATGAACCACTATACTTTTTCTTTAGCTTTGTGATTTGACATTTTCCTTTTAGAGTTAATAAATTATATCGCATGTGCACAACTTTAAAATCACTTTCAATGCAGGTTGAATGTTTTCAAAAAACTTTCTTGTACAATTGAAGGGCATTTGAATATGTCTGCACATTTTGTATAAAAGTTAATATGATGATTATAACAAATAATTGTTAAACTATGAGTATTGATTTCCCTGCAACCTGAAATTATCTAACTAGTGCAAACATAAATCAATTGAATTATATTTATCTCAATGTGACGTTATCTTGATGTAGTTGGTTTGGCAATAATGAGATTGACAATGGAGAATTTGAGGGATTACAGACATTTTGTAGCCATTATGGCTGATATGAAAAACCAAAATATTAATTTATGAACACTACCTTGGGATTTCTGAATTCTTCCTTCTTTTTTCCAGGGAAATATTCACTTTATTGACAAATTTAGATATGGAGAAAATAAAACACTTAGCTGATTTCAAATTTTCTAAGATTGTTAAGTTGCTCGGGAAATCTTAAATTTCTTGTTTTAATATTGTGTGTTTGAGATCTCTCACTGGCCGGGTGTGGTGGCTCATGCCTGTAATCCCAGCACTTTGGGAGGCCAAGGTGGGCAGATCGCTTGAGCTCAAGAGTTTGAGACCAGCCTGGGCAACATGGCAAAACCCCATCTCTACAAAAAGTACCAAAAATTAGCCAGGCGTGGTGATGCGCACTTGTGGTCTCAGCTGCTTGGAAAGCTGAGGTGGGAGGATTGCTTGAGACTGGGAGGCGGAGGTTGCAGTGAGCTGAGATCACACCTGGGTGACAGAGTGAGACCCTGCCTGTATGACTATTGCTGTCTTTTCTATTGGAAAATTTTTAAAGAATACAAATACTGAAAATAATAAAACCCAAAACTCAAGTGCTCACCTTTGAAGATTAACAAATGTGAATGTGTTAAAAATATTTTCTTCAGATCATTCTTTACATAAAATAAATAAAGCGTTGTCAGTAAAGTCAAAGTCTTTTTCGTATTTTTCCCCTGCTAACCTATTTTAATTGGAGAGGGAAAAGGGTGGAGGGGGAACAGCCCCTGATGCATTTGCAACTTCCAAATGTTCACGGAAGGTGCCGCAGACCGATGGTTATGTTAGAAACTGTCACTCGTGTCCTGTCCGCTTTAACTCTGCAGACTACTGGAAGAAAATCCGTCAAGTGGACGAGTGAGGCCTGGGAGCAGCTGAAACGCGGAGATGCTTCACATCTGATCCAAGCATTTGGATCCAACCCATTTTGCCACTCACTCGCTCTACTTAGGGTTTCCTCCGGAGCTGCTGGCAGCCCCACGTGGGTGTCAAACTTGGGCCTGGGATGATGTTCACTGGGAATCATAGGATTCAGAAATTCAAGTATTGGGATCAACGTAGCAAACCACCTTCATTTTACAGATGAGGAAGCCAAGGGCAGGAGAGTAAAGGAACATGTTTTCAGGACACACAATTAAGGCAGGAGTGAGCAAGACCTAATTCCATCTGCCCCCTTTTCTTCCATCTCCTCCTCAATTCATCTCTTTTTCAATCAATCTGAACCAGAGCCAGTGATTTTAATATTCAGGCAGTTTCAAGACCATTCACTTTATAACCATTTTAAGATGGAACTAAAATTCAAAAAATGTTTTATTCTGCCTGGTAATAGAACTGGTTCCTTCCAGTGGGTTCGTGGTCTCAGTGACTTCAACAACGGAGCCCCAAACCTTCACGGTGAGTGTTACAGCTCTTAAAAATGGCACGGATCCAAAGCGTGAGCAGCAACGAGAGTTATTGTGAAAAGCAAAAAGAATAAAGCTTTCACGGTATGGGAGAGAACCCAGGGAGTTCGAGGTGTTGGCTGCCGGGGGGTGGCAAGCTTTTATACCCTTATTGGTCCCTGCCCATGTTCCGTTTTTGTCCTATCATCCTATCAGAGTGCCCTTTTTTCAATCCTCCCTGTGATTGGCTACTTTTCGACTCCTGCTGATTGGTGCATTTTACAGAGTGCTGATTGGTGCATTTTGCAGAGCGCTGATTGGTGCATTTTGCAGAGCGCTGATTGGTGCATTTTACAATCCCCTTGCTAGCTACAGAACACTGATTGGTGCATTTTACAGTCCTAGCTACAGAGTGATTGGTGCATTTTACAATCCTCTTGTAAGACAGAAAAGTTCTCCAAATCCCCACTCCACCCAGGAAGTCCAGTTGGCTTCACCTCTCAGAACCTCAGTTCTAAAAGAAAATGTTTCATAAAACAGCAGAAAGAAGTTCTTGGATATGAAATATCTTTTTCCAAGCAAGTATTAGGTGATTAAATGGTTAACAGAGCAAAACTTTTCTGGATGTCATGGATGGCCTGCAAAATGCTCTTGGGGGCTGAAAAACAGTTATTTGTGTGGAAAGTGGCTGAATGCTCAATGCTAGAAAAAGAGTTTGTGCGGCCGGGCGCAGTGGCTCACACCTGTAATCCCAGCACTTTAGGAGGCCGAGGCGGGCGGATCACTTGAGGTTGGGAGTTGGAGACCAACATGG
Source organism: Homo sapiens (assembly GCF_000001405.40). NCBI lineage: Eukaryota > Metazoa > Chordata > Mammalia > Primates > Hominidae > Homo > Homo sapiens. The sequence continues at coordinate 791,609 of NC_000006.12, forward strand.
AGAAACCCCGTCTCTACCAAAAATACAAAAAATTAGCCAGGTGCGGTGGCGCATGCCTGTAATCCCAGCTACTCTGGAGGCTGAGGTAGGAGAATCTCTTGAACCCAGGAAGCGGAGGTTTTGGTGAGCCGAGATCATGCCACTGCACTCCAGCAGCCTGGGCAACAAGAGTGAAACTCCATCTCAAAAAAAAAAAAGAAAAAGAAAAACAATTTGTGCTGCTTGCTAATTCTAGAATGTCCCTATGCCCGTGGAAGAGGCTCCTCATGCCGGTCTTCTAAGAGAAGCCTATGTGCGTCTTCATGCATTTTTCATTGACTTTCCTGTCCTTAACGTAGCCTTAAAGCAGGCCCTCACAGGCCAGAGGGTGGCTCTTCTGGGTCCTCACGATGTCAGGAGGACACCTGCATTGTCTCACTTACTCTTCTCAACACCCTGAGTGTGTATACTATTTAGCAGAGTGCAAGCATTTGACAGACAACAGTCTAAGGGGAGCATTCCTTCAACATTAAAAACGACTCCTGCTCACCCACAACAGGTTTTGCGGTCATGGGTGTGTTATACCCTCTGATTAGGGTTGTGTGCTATGGATTTGAAACCACTTTACGCTAGCGATCTGGGCTACTGCTTATAATTTCACCACTGCACGATGCAACGTTGCTGCAATAGACAGGCCGGGGTGAGCCAGAACTGGCACGATTGTGTGCAATTGAGAAGGCGACTGTCTCATCTGTAAAATGGGACAATGACATCTTGCTTATTGTAAAAATTAGAGTTATTGTATGAAAAGCAGCCTCTCTAGCAGAGAGGCTGGTCTAAATTGCTGCCAAGACCTGGTAGCTGTTGCTACAATGCACAGAGGAATACAAAGTCGGCATAAAAAGATGTAGATTGTGTGTGTGGCGGAAATCCGCAGGTGAGCTATCAACACCCTGGTCCAGAAAGTCTTGGCCTAATTCTTCACAAGACTGCACTATATTCCGCTGACTCCATTTTCTGCTCAAGGTCTTCCATTGAATTGGACCTACTGATGAGACCTGCTTTTCCTTCGGGTTTTGCACTATTTCCTTGACAACTACACGATTGCCAAAAATATGGTCATGCAGCTCTTCCCGACCCTTGTCGTGCTTTGTCATTCTCCGGTTCAGGCGGGTGCATTGATCTGCTTTCGCTGAGGGCTGACGTGGAAGTTTCAGCTCATTTCAGTTCCTCTCAGCAAATTGGTAGTGACAGAAAGGCTGAGGGTTACCATGGAAATGGTCACAGCCTCACTCAAAACCACCAGAAATACTGTAGTATTTGAAACAGTGTGGATTTCACCAACAGGCTTTGGAGAGAAGACACATTCTGAAAGCTCTTGACAGAGGCTTGGTCATGGTACAATGAGGAGACAGTAATTTGTTTTCATTTCGGGAAGGAAGTGCGGCGTTCCTGAACAATGTGCCCACTTACGATATTTTATTTTCTTGGAAAGAAAAATAAGTTACGAGGAAAATCTGTCTGTTTTCATCCATTGCAGCACATTATCTCTTTATTTCTTAACCAAGACAAGAAAAGAAATCACGGTAACAATCCAAAATAATTATGATCCCAAACGTATTTATATTTGGCTTTTTGGGATTTGTTTCTGTACGTACATTTTAATATGTGCCTGAAGTTCTGTCTGAAATTTCACTTCTCACCAAATAAAGAAGGCTCACCAGGAAGCCGGGGAAGAACAGGAGAAGCTGAGAAGCCGTCGGACTCCTCCATCCTGCCTCCTTCCAAAGGCTCCCAGCCCCAGGCCAGCGCCTCAGCAGGCATCTCCTTCCAGACCCAAACCAAGCACAAGTGCCTGACCCCACGCTCTGCTCTCGCAAATGTCCCAACTCTGCTTCAGAGGAGAAATGGAAGAATAAACAGACTGTGAGATGCAGACAAAGAACTAATGTAAACCAAGGCAACGCTGTGCATAGAAACGCAAAAGCAAGATTCGCTCCAGGAGTTTCATGCCACAGGATGGTCGACGGCTGGAAACAGGGGTTTTATTTTCCCACCACCACATCCCGATCGGAGCATCCCTGCGGGGCGTTTTAGTCCTCCGCACAGGCTTAAGGAGCGCCAGCACGTGTGTAATAAATGACATTCAATTTCAACTCCGCTGTTAAAATGGCACCAATGGCAACTGATGTAATTTCTTTCTCACTTATTTTTTTTTTTTTGTATTTCATTTGTAAGTTTTACCACTTAAAAATGAGGCATTTGTAGATCATAGAATCTAGGAGTTAATACGAAGTTTGAAAGCCTTTTATGGGTAACATTTACTTAAATATTTTGCCCATTACTCATATTCCATTTTTTGTTCATGTATTAGTTTATTTAATAGAAAGAGTTTATTCAATGTTTACCTCCCATAGTTTACTTTAGAATATCTCTGGACCCTTACATCTGGTCATATGCTGCTTATTTTCTTTAAAAATGGTATTTCTAAATTATTTTGTGACTTTTAACAAAACTGAAATGAATAAATTGCATCAGTTTTTGCATATATGTGCACATCAATTCATATAGTTAGAGGATTATTTATTATATGTGTAGGACGCATGTAGCATGAATTTGTGAGGTGCATTCATGACCTGGAGTGTGTAAACAGAATGTAATGATAAGGTTCTGGGTTTATATGCCCCAATAACTGGACTTTTTCACAAATTAGTAGCAGATTTGATTAGATGCCCACTGAATGCAGGCAGTTGCCAAATGGTTTTTGGGATGGTGGCTTTATTTGTGTTCCTCTATGATAACCCTCCTTTCTTTGGGAAACTGTGTACAATTGGGGGTGGGTGATCCACTGGACAGGCACGGGGTTGGGGGCGGTGCTGAGATGACCCTGCAAGTCCAGCGAGTCTCAAAGTGGGTAGATCCGATTTTAGGAGATGATGGTTTAATCTGCCTGAGGATGACATCTTCACGGGAGCCTCTGCACCAGCCTCAAGGAGTTTTCTTTTTCAAAGGTCCTTTCCTTCACATGTTATTTATCTGTTAAGGGGACAGCAGGGAGGAGAAGTCTCTGAGCCCTGCATTGGACCTATTGCCTGAAGTATTGTCAGTCCCCAATCCTCTGGTGCCATAGAGAGGAAAGAGTAAGATAATGAAACTTTGAGGTTCGAACTTTGCATTTTGTAGTAAAAAATAGGTTTCTTAATATATGTGATTGTAATGGCATACAAGGCTTTTAAATTCATGTGCATATAAGATAAATTTTAAATATTCTTAGAGGGTTTTCATGAAATATCACCTTCACATATTTCATCAGTTCAGTACAAAATGCAAAAATGTCTATTGTATAAAACGGGAGATTTAATCACGACCACGTTAGGAATCTCCCCAGTTACCCCTGGGAACACAGCCCCCCAGAGTGGAGACATGCTTAGACTGCCATCTGTTTCAGCATCCCTGTTTCAATGCTCCTAGTGATGGATTCCTGTCCAAGACATAGAAGCAGGTAACAAATCTAGACTGATAATAAATGGAAGCTGCAACCATAAAACCCCAGTGCAGATACAAGAGACTCTCACTGCGTCTGGCAGTGCCTCATTACCTTGTCAGTGTCAGGATGTGGCTCCAGATTTCCTGCTGCAATGAAATTATATTGGGGCTATCGCTGGAGCACACGGCTGGCCAGCCGCAGGAGGGTGGGGGCTTGAAGGGGGGCACATGCTGCCAGATGTTCCGCCGGAGTCTGTCTCTTTTAAACTTGCTTCACCAAAAACTCTCCCCTACCGATTTCTAACATCCCTACTGCTTTAAGGAAATGCACTTGGAAACTGCTCTTAATTTGGCTGTGTTTGTTGCCAACAGTCTTTTGTCTTGTCTTCCTAACCTCTGCATAGGGGAGCTGATGAGCAGAAGGATCCGATTTCAGCCAAACATGTGTTTCACCGTATTGAAATGTGTGCTGCTTAATAGAGTAAACACCAATATATCTGAGGGCCAGGAGACTGAATTAACTGATTAGTATCAAAGAGTGCTGGGGCCGTAAACGGTAATTGGCCACTTTCTGAGAAAAGGTAGAACTCCTTTAAGACAAGGTCTTCCATTCTCATTAGCCCCTTACAACTAGAAACTATCATTTAGCCTCACCAGGCCAAGAGAGTAAATGATTCTCCAATTTTGTATTCCTTTTCTTTGGATAGGAAAAATGGGTTGAGCTAACTGCTTACAAATTGTAAAAAACAAGTAAGAAATGCTTATGACACATTTTGCCTATGTTTTATGTTTCTCTTTGACTTTTCAACGAGGTAAAAGTAGGATCCAATATCAGAAGGAGAAAGGTCACCTACAATTAAGTGAATGTTTAAAAAAATACAAAAAATGAGGGAAGCTAATAGTCTACATAGGTTTGAAATATATGAGAAATTAAAGCTGTTTTATTTAAGAAGCAAAGCTTGGATTAATCTTCCAGGTAATGATAAAGAAGAGGGACTCTTACTCAGAATTTTTTTTAAATATTAAGATGTGTGAATCTGTACATTCTGCAGAGGTACCTGCAATCGTGAGTATTGAAACATACTAAATATGGGAGTAATAATCCATATAGGTCCTCCTTCATTTCAGTTTTCCATAGACCACATGAGTTCTGATAATCCTGAAAACGATTTGCTCTCTTCTCCAATGCTGAATGAAGACTACCTCATCCCTTCCTTCTTGCTTCTAACAGCAGATCAGATCTCCAGGTTCGAAGTTCCTAGATGTGCTTTCTGATCCTGGTTATTCTTTGTCAGCCTTCAAAGCCAAAGCCTTACTGACGTGCAGATCCAAGGAAAAGTTTCTTTCCTCATTGTGTGTTGCCTATGTTTATAACCACATACACACATAAACATGTAAACTCTGCATTTCAGAAAGCAATGATTTGTTATCCATATCTTATCTATACATTTCTGCTTTGACATTTTATTAAAAACATAAAAATGAGTACGGTAACCCAATTTGAATCCTTTAACTCAAAAAGTTTATTTATGTATACATAAACTGATTAAACACTTTTTTTTTTTGCCTTAGGAGGTACATGAATATGTTTTAAAATCTCCATAAAATAGCACAAGGTGCTCTGTGTAAACTTACCCAGAACATACAAATAATTGTAAAATAACTGAAGGGCTAATAAAATAAACTCATGTATCTGCTGTAAATGTTATTTCTTCTTCTTTTTTCTTTTTTTAACCAGGAAATAAATTAACAGTAATGTGTGTTAAATCAAACATTCGCTTTTGAAGAGTTCTCAAAGTTTCTGCAAGATAAAAACCATTTCTGGTGACAATGGTTTTAAAAAACAGTTAAATCTCTACGGATAATTTTAAGCATAGATTTTTTAAAGCACTAGTTCTAGGATTATGGAATCTTATTAACAAAGCAGAAATAATTTTAATGTTTATAAAACTGGAAGCACTAATCTGTTGTATTATGAAGGGCATAGAAAACTATTTATGAATTTATTTTCTTTTTCTGTCTCCTCTATTTTAAATTAAAATAGGAAATTTAAGATTAGGAAAAACTAGTAAATATCAAAGTTTCAATTTTAAACCCACTTTAAAATTGAGAAATACTCAAAGAGCAATAGATATGTTAAATAATTGTACTAAAAATAATTTTCACAAGCCTCTAAGCCTCAGAGGGACTTTATTGTTATTTATACATGTTTTGTATTTTTATATTTCTTTTTTCTCTTAGTAGCCTTCACACATTGTTTTAATAAAATCTTCATCTCATGCATTTTATTCTTCTAAACAGTAATAAAACAGCTTTCAGATTTTATGGTTTTGTTAGGATTGAGATGAAATGCTATCAGATTAAGCATTTTCCTTGTGAAAAATGGAAAGTGTTAAGTAAGTAGCACTTTGGACAGGGTTTTAACAACAGCTTTAGGAACAGCCTGCAGCTTTATAATTTCTAGGAAAAGAACAGGATACATACACATAGCAACCAACTTTAATTACATTTTATACCCATTAATAGTCACGTGCTCTATTCATTATTTTAAAATTTAAGATAGGAAAAGCATTTCAAGGAACTGATTTTGAAAGCACACTATTACATCCTGCCAGCAGGGGTCACAAAAGCATACACAATGGCTGTGGAACAGTTCATTTCTTTTCAGAGAGCACCTTCCAGTACAGCCAAACGTTTATCCGCTCCCGAGGACAACATTACAACCACATCTTCAAAACTGGGAAACATGAAGTTTGAACTCACTGAAAAGTCAGCTAGATTACTGAAAAATAAAAAAGAATATAGATTTGAATAAATGCTTGTTTTAGGTCTTTAAAAAATGACTTGGATCAGTTACAAAGGCCACATATATTGTATGTTCCCATTTATACAAAATGTCCTGAAGAGGCAAGTCGATGGGGATGGGGGTAGTGGGTGCCCAGGGCTGGGGGCTAGGTGGAAAGGAGGTTTGAATGGAGGTGATGGCTGAGGGGCTTAGGGCTTCTTTTGGGTAATAAATATTCTGAAATTGATTGTGGTGATGGATGCACGACTCTGTCAATATACTAAAAGTCACTGAATTGAACGCTTTAAGTGAATTGCGTATTATAAAAACGACATCTCACTAGAACTGTTTCAACAATGGCTTCACACATACGGCACTTTAGAAATCTGTATGTGGAAATCTCCAGGTTTATCTGCCTATGAGTGTTGATGGGTTTGGGGATCATAAATTACAATATGTCTTAATGATTTACGTTTTTGTCAATGACTTCACTTCAAATAAAGATAGATTAATTTACCCCAAACAGTTTATTGGGAGCTCTGGAAGGGACAGCAGTCAACCAGGAGAAGATCCTTGGAAAAGGACGGCCCTCAGAAGGTGTGGAGCTCCAGGCTCCGAGCCCGACTCCGCCAGGGGCCTGCAAGCTGCCGCTGGGCAGGTGCTTAACCTTTCTCCATTCATTTTTCCTGTTTGTAAAATGTGGGGCTGAGCTTTCTCCCTAAGGTGCTGTTTTAGATCTACAAATTCCATTGACTCTTCTCAGGCTGTTTGCTTATTTGTGACTTACTGGAAACCTAGGAGCCTTCCAGTTCATTTCCAGCAAGCTCTGTACATTTACATGTTATCTGAGTGAGGATGGAGAAACAATTTTCTTGTCTAACTTTTGCTAAGCTTGCTTTGGAAGCAGATGTTTGAACCTTTTGCTAAATTACTTGAATTTGGAAGTCTGAATAAAACATTACTTACATTTTAAGGTTTTAATAAAATTAGTTTTTTATTAAAAAGACCTAATTAAACTTATAAGAATTTCCCAAATTGGAACTTTATATGTAATAAATGATCTAGCAAGCAGTCAGATTCATATATATTTAATAAATACATAGCTTAACTGTGCCCCTTTACTTTTTAAACCAGCATTTTTAAATTTAGAAAAGTAGTGATATGTATTTTTCAGACATAGGAACATTTTTAGAGAAACGTGTTTTGAATTAGAGAGAGAAAAATTCCAAATTGATTAACTTTCTACTCTTTTACCTCTCCCTTTATGAAGAAAGATTTTTTTGTGGTTCACATTTGAATTCTCTCATTTCGCTGGATCTTTAATACAGCCAAAAATTGTAACATACTAAGACATTTGTTTTCTTTTCCTCTTCAAGATAAATACTTTAAAGACATCAAAACAAAAAGTCATCTGTCTGGTTCTCCCAAATCTTGTACAATCCCACAATACTCTCTAGCCCTCACAGCATGCTGGTAGGTGAAATTTGTCTTGACGTTTTTTACTTTGCTAGTTTTAACTCAGCTCCGTGAAGCATTGATCTTTTCTTTTCGCTGTCTTATTGCTTACTATGGGTATCCAAAAATGCGAAAAGAGGGTTGAAAACCCCCGAAAGTGTCACAGTAGAAAACGTGCAAGAGCATTGGGGAAACAGTCTTCCTTGCTCACGTGTTTGCATGTGTGTTGGTTTGCTTTTCTTTAATTCATAGAGTCTGACTGCAGCGGTCATGTCTGCCCATCTCTCTTGAGGCTTATTTCTCTGATGTTAAACATTTCAGCTCCTTGAATGTGTGGGGCATCCTCTATTTGTAGGTAGAATCCTGGAACTGGGGAAGTAATTTGAGGCTATCTGGTCATCTTCCCACCTAATAAGACAAGTGCTTTTATCATGCTGATTCTGCATGGAGGACATGGTCTCATTTTCCCAGGAACTAAAGGCTGCTATACTGCTTTTGAGTGGCGAACTCGTTTCATGTTGTCACAGCTTGATGTCTCTTACAACACAGGGTTGCCTCTCTAGTTGTCCAGGGCCACCCATCCGGAGCTCAGGCCATTTAACTCCCTTAACAAGTGGTTCACATCTCAAGAGCCAGGGTGTGTTGGCTTAGGCTGGAAGGGAAGGTCACCACCCAGCACTCGTTCCCTGTCCAGGCTACAAACTGCTCATCTGTCTCATCTAGAGACCAAGCACCCACATTTGTGGGCTCATGGAGAGCAGTGTCTCTGGAGACGGGAAGTCCGGTGTCATAGATCAGGAGGCATCATCTCCAGAGCTATACAGTGAAGGCATTTTAGTACAAAGAACAGGGCCACAGGAGGCTGCTTCCTTTAATAATAAGGCCAGCAGGATGGCATGTTAAACATATCCTGTTACTTTAGGGTTCCAAGCATATCTGCGTTAGGCACTTGCTGCCTGGGATTCCAGGATACATTTGTCAGGAAAAAGTAATCAAAATTCACTCTTTGAGCAGTGAAAAGCTTATGATGCTCTATGGGTTAAGAATTGAGAATATGCTTAGATTTGAGTTCTAACCTCTGATTCCTAATCGTTCATACAGGAAAGAGACTTGGAATTCTGTCATCATGATGAAGAGGTGGCAAAATAGAAACTTGAAGTTGTGTCTGATTCGTTGGATAGGTGTTTGTATAAAGCTCATCTTTGATATGAAGTAGGCTGAGTGGCAATTGCTGGTTGCATCCTTTTGTCTTTTTTTTTTTTTTTTTTTTTTTTTTGAGATGGAGTCTCGCTCTTGTTGTCCAGGCTGGAGTGCAATGGTGTGATCTTGGCTTACCGCAGCCTCCACCTCCTGGGTTCAAGGGATTCTCCTGCCTCAGCCTCCCGAGTAGCTGGGATTACAGGAGCTCACCACTAAGCCTGGCTAATTTTTGTATTTTTAGTAGAGATGGGGTTTCACCATGTTGGCCAGGCTGGTCTCGAACTCCTGAGCTCAGGTGATCTGCCCACCTCGGCCTCCCAAAGTGCTGGAATTACAGGCAGGAGTCACCGTGCCTGGCCGCATCCTTTCATCTTCTTATTCTGCCTTCCAGGTTTTGTGAAGTGAGTGGAGCCTAAACCATGGAAGGAATGAGTTGATGAGTGAATGAGTGAATGAAAGAAAATGTAGACCGTACACAGGCAGATCAATGTGTGCAGACACACGTACACACATACACATTCTACCTCCCGTCACGCCCGGGTGGTGAGAGTTAGGGGAACATGCTTGTCTTGAGCCTGAAGTAGACAAAGAAGCTCCATCCGTGGAGCCTAATTGAAAAGGGGATTTAGGAAAAACGAAGTCACTGAGGCACTGGGGCAAGTCAGCTGACCTCTTTAGGCATCAGCCTGAGGTGTCCTCGTTGGCAGAAACAGAATCTATGCTCAGAGACAGCAAAAAGAATAGACACACTGACATTTTGCAGCCAGGATTAGGGGAACCATTCAGAAGCAGAAATAGTTTAACTATGAATAAGTTCATGAAATAGAACTACAGAAATAATTTTTTCTCACAGGATGTTATGCAGTATGTTTATGTTACAAATTGTAAAACAATTGTGATTTTCAACACTGTCTAATCTTTCATAAGATTCCTCTCACAGTGGCATTCAGCCAGGGCGGTATTATCTGTTTTCTATTTTATTTTTCAATTCTTTGTGCCACAACTTGCCCTAATGTAACTTGGAAGTTGACATACATACAATACCTGTAGGTGTGATTTTTTTTTTAAGGAAGAAAATTGAATTTTTTGGAGCTGCCAGGTGTCTGGTTTCGAACCAGCCGGTCTGGTATTTAGCTTTTTTACTATAAAACAACTTGAGACAATTGTGCATATACTGATGCCAAATATGTTCTAATTCAGCACTCTTCACCACTGCATATGACCTGGATAAATCTCTCATCCCCTAGGTCCAGTCGACGTCCTCAGGTAACGCCCCGGGTACCAAAACTGAGCTCTCCTGGGTCACACTGGGTGTAACCTGAATTCAAATTCTCACCACCTTCCCCACCAGGAAACAGGAAGCCCTGAGAAAGAGAAATATATTCTCTTTCTAAAATTGTGATTCACTAGAGAACATTTTCATTTTTGTAGTATATGGCAAGAGTGTTTTGTGGTAAAGAGTGAATGATAGCTTAATTTTTTTTAAAAGTTTCCATAAATCAAGTCTTTTTTCTTTTGCCAGAAATTTAAAGTGTTTTCTTTAATTTAAAAACATATTAATGCTCTTTTTAGTATTTTCTTGTAAATGTGAAATGTCTGCCAGTGCCTAGTTAAATTAAATATGCATGTACTCATTTACACAGCAGTTCTGCTCCTGGGCTCCTATACCAAAGAAATCACACCTACCTCCATCAGAAACAGGTGTGAGGCTTTTTTTCTGGTGACATTGTTTGAGGAGGTAGGGAGTGGGGACTCAGACATCCGTTCCTGGGTGAGGGGACGGGTAACATGCAGGGAGCGCATGGGCAGTTAGAGGTAATCCGCAAGCTGCAGGCATTGCAGTGTGGACAGCAGGAAGGCACGGTGCTGAGTTTGAAAGGCAGAAATGGAGTGTGTAACACAGTACCATTTACATAAACTAAAAATACATCAGCATGGCTGGGTGCGGTGGCTCACGCCTATAATCCCAGCACTTTGGAAGGCCGAGGTGGGTGGATCATGAGGTCAGGAGATCGAGACCAGCCTGGCCAACATGGTGAAACCCCATCTATACTAAAAATACAAAGAATAGCTGGGTGTGGTGGTACTCCTGTAATCCCAGCTGCTCGGGAGGTTGAGGCAGGAGAATCGCTTGAAACTGGGAGGTGGAGATTGCAGTAAGCAGAGATTGCAGTGAGCTGAAATTGCACTACTGCACTCCAGCCTGGCGATAGAGCAAGACTCTATCTAAAAAAAAAAGAAAAAAAAAAACAGTACGAGGACGGATCTATTTTAAACCCATTAGAAAAGTCGGCTATAGGGAATGGGATGACAGATGGACACAGAAGGCAATCACGTGTCCATACATCCATGAAGTGAGAGACAAGCCTTACGCGGACCAGTATCATCATATGCTGTTACAGGAGGGTACGTAACTTTTGGAACTTTAGGCTGAAAAAGTTCAAATACACATGAAGGTATAAGCATATAAAGATAAATGTGAACATGTTTTGCATACTGGCCTAATTCCAATTTCTAGAGGAAGCAACCATTAGCAGTTTGAAACCATTTGTTGTATATTGTTCCAGACTCATTTCCGTGCACATAGAAAGTCTAATTTTGTCTTTACAGAAATGACATCATGCTATGTCTATCGCCCTGCACTTTGCCTTTTCCACTTACAATTTCATATCTATCCACCTATCTATCCATTATCTATCTATCCATCTGTCATCTACCCATTCATCTTCCATCATCTGTGCACCTGTGTATCTACATATCCATCACCTGACCATTCATCTTCTATCCATTTATCTATCATCTATCCATCCATCTTCTATATATTATCTATGTATCTATCCATCCATCATCTATTATCTATCTATCTATCTATCTATCTATCTATCTGACACCTATCTCTTATTGTTGTCCTTCCATTCCTGTAGATATGGACCAACTTCTTCCGTCCTTCTTTTTCTTCTACTTCTCTCTTTCTTTCTTCTTTCTTTCTTTCTCTTTCTTTCTTTCTTTTTCTCTCTCTTTCTCTCTCTCACTCTCTCTTTCTTTCTTTCCTCTCGACCCTGTTTATTGATAATTCAACAGAACCAGTTTGAAATATGGAGAAATTAGGTCAACTCTACACTTTCACATGGCTTATTTTCAGCTTCCAATCTTAGCTAGTGACATGACTCTTTCTTCCAAGTCGAGGTCTTGCAGCACTTGCCTTCACTCCCGTAGCTGTAGTTAGACAGCACCTTAGGCTTGGGTCGACCCTCGGTGAACTCTATGCCGTGTCCCGCCGCGCCACAGCACAGCTTTCTCCTCATTGTCTTCTGGCTCTGACTGTAGACATGGAAAAAGCAGAGTCAACCTGAATCTTCTCCCTTGCACGAGGCCAACTGCTGCCTGAATCATCATAGGATTCTTTACTTTCTCTTGAAGATAAACAACTTCACCAGAAAATGTCCAAGTGTTGTTCAGCAATTGAGAGTTTCTTTTGCTATGTTTGTTTTCATCACTTTTACTTCATACCTTTTTTTTTTCATTTAATTTTGTGTCGTTTTTCTCAAGGCTGACACATCACAAACTCTGTTTTCAACAGTCCGTATTCCACATTCATTGCTTCTAACATGGAGCTAACTTCTGCAATGATGTGGCCACCACTGGAACAGGAAGGTTGCTGTCAGAATCTGGAGAAATTCATGGGAAGTTTAATGTTGCCAGTGAGAGAAACACTCTGTGAGCTGTTCTTAGGGTCTGCTGGTGAGATGGCTCAGGAAGGGTAAACACTGGAGGCATGAGAATACCATCGAAGGGGCCGACTGCAGTGCCGGGCATTGTGTAGGCCACAGCCACCAGTGCCTCCATGTTTCTGACCAAATGCTTCAGTGCCCTTTAGTGAGTGTGTCGCAGACAAGGCATTTTTGTATGAGATCCAGGGTTCATACCATCATGATTCTTAGCCTTCATATTCATCACACACTGGAAGGGACGCTGCGTGCCAGGCGTTCCGGCCGGCCATCTGCGGGGGAAGGAGGAGCATGGCCTGGAGATGTGGAGCTTCTGGGCAGCATGGCGCTGAAGCGCTGCTAGCTAAGAATTACTAAACAACTCAGGTTCAGCCAACTCTAATTTGTGTTTTATTTTCACTAAACTTTTTGCTTACTTTAGTGTAGGCATCCTTGGGGACCCAGCGAGACGGTTGGTTAGGGGCGCTCACCATGATGCCAGGACAGATGAGAGGAGTCCTAGGAGTACTGGGGCCTGGTCAGTCTCCTGAGGCTGAGACTGTTCGTCCACTCCACAGCCGGCCTTCCTCCTTCTTTGTTAACAGAAGTGAACCGTCACAGGGAAGGCAGCATGCCTGGCACCAAGGCATAAGCTATGATTGCTCTATCCTGGCAACTTGGTTTCTCTTTGCCAGCCATGGCTGGGCATTGACCCAGTCCTGCCACTGAGCTCTAGGAGAAGTTGGCTTGGAGAAGGATTTTCCTCGGCGACCCATAGCTGCATGAGAAGCCCTTTGACTCCTCCTGTCTGCCCACGCTGAGTGCTCCATGACACGCTCGGCTCTGTGCCGCATTCATCTACCCACTGCATTTTCCCCTGATTAGCTTCCCTCATGGCGTCAAGATGGCCACCAGTCACAACTGGGCAACAAGTTTCCTTGCTCATATTAAGAAAAAGTATTGCTTTCTCTTTCCCCGAAGGACCCTCTCAAAACTTTCCCATGCATTCATTGGTCCAGGTGGAAATATAGGAAGAATATTACCAAAACTGAGTTAGATTATATAGGGGAGAAAGGATGTTCAAAAGTCAAACACATTATCAGTTCAACACAAAACTGCCTAAGATTGGCTGGGCGCGGTGGCTCACCCCTGTAATCCCAGCACTTTGGGAGGCTGAGGCGGGTGGATCAAGAGGTCAAGAGATCGAGACCATCCTGGCTAACCCCGTGAAACCCTGTCTCTACTAAAAATACAGAAAATCTGCCAGGGGTGGTGACGGGTGCCTGTAGTCCCAGCTGCTTGGGAGGCTGAGGCAGGAGAACGGTGTGAACCTGGGAGGCGGAGCTTGCAGTGAGCCGAGATCGCGCCACTGTACTCCAGCCTGAGTGACAGAGTGAGACTCAGTCTCAAAAAAAAAAATACAACTGCCTAAGATTTTGGAAGGGCACAGCTTGCAGAAGGAAGGGACTGGGGAGATACTTTTTCTTTCTCTTCTAATCAGAAAAAGAATCTAGAGAGCAAGAGATGGGAATTCCTTGCTGACCTGTTTACTTTTAGGAGAGTGTAAGCCTCAGAATGAGAGTTTTCTAGAAGAAACATTGACAAAATCAGTCAGTCTTCTCCATGGATTTTGGAGATATAAAATATTTCTTTACATGTTTGGAAGTTATGCATTTTATGTCTTTTTATTTTTAGTGGTCGCTTGTACAAACAGTCTTCAATGTATATTTTTCCAGCAAAGGAAAGGAAACAATTTTAGATTTTGTTAGAAAAATATCTATTGATGATTTTAAGTTAAAAATATGCTGGTAACCACTACACAGAGCCACTGAGTGCCCTGCAAAGCCACATTCTTGAGGCTCTCTTGTGCCACCCAATGATCCAGCAGCCAAAGGGATAACGGCCATCACTGCAGGGGCCCTTCCCAGTGCTAAGATGCTGTCCTTTCTGTTGGTCCACACTTGAGTTATGCCAAGTTTAATATATTTGAATTATCACTCCCACACCTTGGTGCATTTTTGTTGTTTCTGCTGCTAATGAAGATGGTGGTTATCTTAAAATGTTGTTGTTGTTGTACAGAAATATAGTTGATTTTTTTGTGTAGCAATCTCAGAGCCAGGAATCTGGCTAGTATTCACTTATGTTCTTTTGGCTTTTCCATGAAACTAATGTATCATCTACGTATGATGACAGTTTTGTTTCCTCCACTCCCATTGTAAATAGTGTGATAAAATGTATGATTGCTAACAAATATTGATTCCTCCCCACCCAGTGGAACATGAGTGGGCTGGCATTGGCCATGTCCAAGGAGGTGTTACCTCCACTTGCATTGCTGGGCTGAGCTTCTCGAGATCATCAGAGAACCACAGGTCCCCACTGGTGCTACCTCCTTCAGCCTGTGTCCCAGAACCAGGAGACACATGGAGTAGAAACCCTAGGCCCAACTTTCAGCCTGCATCAAACCCAGATGTGCTCAGCTCTACAGATTGGCTTAAAGATTTTTATACTCAACCTGGGATGTTTCTTGTTGAGAGTGGGTAAGGGGGATGTCAACATGTGGTCTCTCTGCCCTTTTGGTGCCCAGAACCAGATTCATAATCGACCTACAGCCACAGACAAGGGTTGAGCATAACTAGGGCTTAGAAATAACAGACCTGAATTGATATATGATGGTTTTAGACTCGTTCATGCATAAAATAAAACTTAGAGATAAAGGAAATGTATGGATGAAAGTGTGACAAGTGAGAGAGAGTGAGCAGCTGCCTCTCAAGTCTGGCACTGCTGCTAAGCCCGGAACAGAACCAGAGTAAGAATGAGAGAAAACAAGGCAAAGAGAATTGCGTTCTAGGTGAAAGGGAAAAGCATTCAGCAGCCTAAGAATAGATGTATCTGCCCCATCAGAGCATGAAGCATGTCAGAGAAACGGAATAACTATCAGCGAAACCATCTTGCCAAAAAGCCAGATGTTCTTTATGGAAATATTTACCTACCATAATTGGGCCTTTTGGATACATTAATGCTATTTGTATGGAAGAAATAATATCTAAATGTAGTGAATAAATGTCACACCACACCCTTCTTTGCAGAAATACTTTTGTGATTTAGGAACGGGGCTTTAAAAGGACATTCATAAGCATCTCTCAATTTTTAAAAGCACAGATGTATCTTATTATGGTTTTCAAACTTAAGCTTTGATTTGGCCATTGCTTGAGAGCTGGGAATTTTCATAAGAAAATTAGTGACTAATACCAAAAAATCTTCTTCAGCTCTACAGAATGAAGTTATAAAGGAGTCAGAGTGGACATACATATTCAATGTTGTGCTTTCAAGTCAAAAGGACAAATTTACTGAAAACTTTAGTTTGACAGGACATACGTAGACTCTGAGAGCTCGATGTGGTGGTCAGATGATTATTGAATCTACTTAGTCCGTTTTTCAGATGATGAACAGAGACCCTAGAGGGATTAGGTGATTTATGTAAAGTTATGTAGTCAGTTCGTGTAAACATTTATTACTAGAAATCAAGATCTTCTGTTTACAGATAACCTTATATTAATACACCTTTATATTAATTTATTTTTTCCAGTCTTATCTATTATCCCAGGATCAATTTATCTGATTCTAGGAATGCTGAACATTAATTTTAAAATAATTCTATATGTGAGAGAGTCCTGAGACTCATTGTCAATGTTTTCCTTTATTTGAAGCATTGAAAGTGCTATCTTTCCTACCTGAAGCTCTCTTGCCCTTGGGTTCTGTGAAGCCACATGTTCTTACTTCTTGATTTCCGGCCACTTCTTGTGTTTCAGTTGGTGCCTCTGCCTGAGCTACTCTAAATCACAGGCACCACCCAGCCTTGTGTCCTTGAATGGATTATCTTTCTGCTCCCTCAGTTTCTCCTCAGGGGAGCACTCACTGCCATTTCCTAATTACCAGCTCTCTGCACTTCCAGCCCCAGCACTGGCCGAGCCTCAGTCTCAGTGCATCTGCGAGTGATGCCATTATCCTTTAGGATGACTCCTGTTCTCTGGCCTTGATTAACACCACCACCGGCAAGCAAGAAACCCCTGCCTCGTCTTCAACTCTTCCCTCTCTCTTTATACAACTAGCTGATGTCTTTAGCTGTGTCAATTCTGTCTCTTAAATGTATCTTATATCATGTCTTCTTTTTAAAAATCTATACTACCAGCCTAGTTTAATGAATGTCTTAGCCTGATGATAGAAACATAATCTTCAGCCAATTCCTTTCCCTGTTCATGTCCTTCATTGTCATCAGTGCTCTTTCTAAGATGCAGGATGAAATATGATTTTCCTTGCTTGAAACCTTGGAATGGTATCCCATTGCCTGAAGATGGAAGAACACACACCTTACCAGGACTTTCATTGCTCTCTATGAGCAGACCACAACCTCTCATTTCAATTCAACCTCCATTATTTGCCTATCCTACAACCTCCTTGTACTAGAACTAGATACTTGCTTCCCTTCATCCTTCAGGGATACATGTATTTTACAATAAACATTTACTAAGCCCCTAGGCTAGGCGCGGTGGCTCACTCCTGTAATCCCAGCACTCTGGGAGGCCGAGGCGGGCAGATCACCAGGTCAGGAGATCGAGACCATCCTGGCCAACATGGAGAAACCTTGTCTCTACTAAAAATACAAAAATTAGTTGGGCATGGTGGTGTGCACCTGTAGTCCCAGCTACTTGGGAGGCTGAGGCAGGAGAATCGCTTGAACCCAGGAGGCAGAGGTTGCAGTGAGCCGAGGTCACCCCACTGCACTCCAGTCTGGAGACACAGTGAGACTCTGTCCCAAACAAACAAACAAACAAAAACAAACAAAAACAACAAAAACAAAAAACAGAAAAACAAAATGAAACATTTACTAAGCTCCTGTCATTTTCTAGATAATTTGGTAGATACTATCAGTTCGGAGCTTACTCTCTACCAAATATTCTTAATTTTCTCTGAACAGGTATTGATGAAAGAATCATGAAAAAACAGATTAAAACCTACATGTAATATTGAACACAAGCAAGAAGACAGACAATGAGGATAAAGTATGCTAAGTGTTAAGACAAGTTAAGCATAGGATACTGTGGATGATTTCCCACCTGTGTAGGAAACCAGATGCAGACTGAGAATCAGGCAGCTGTTGACAGGTCAATGTAGACTTTCAGGAAGAGATGGTGACTGATGACACTCAAATGCAAGCATGGAGGACCCAGTCCAGGGAGGGATGGCAACTGATGGAGAAACGGCCCAAGAAGGTAAGAAGGGAGTGGGCCGGCACATGGAAGCAGGGGCAAGACTCCCCTGCCAGCGTGGCAGATGTGAAGGAAGAAGGGGAAAGGCTTAAGTACTAGTGAAGTTTAATTAATTGTCTCATATATTGCCAATTCTAGGGGTAGGTAGTTCAAAGGCTGGAATGGGAGCTTGGCAGTGTCACTAGGGAGCCACACTTCCTCTGCCTGTGAGCTTCCATCCTTACTGTGTGGGCTCCTCATCTTCAGCCTCACTGCTTTGTATCCAGTCATCCCCCATTATCCGTGAGGGATACACTCCAAGACCCCCAGTGAATGCCTGAGACCAACAACAGTATCAAACCCTGTGTAGACTATGTTTTTTCCTGTACATACATACCTATGATAAAGTTTAGTTTATAAATTAGGCATGGTAAGAAACGAACAGCAATAGCTAAAGATAAAGTAGAACAATTAGGATGGTACATTGTAATAAAAGTTATGTGAATGTTGTATCTCTCTCTCAGAATTTCTTTCTTTTACTGTACTCAGCCTTCTTTGTTTATCTTGGGTAACTGAAGCAACAAAAAGCAAAACTTTGTATAAGAGTGGACTACCATATTCAACTTCTTTAGTTTATTCTGCAGTTACCAATAACGTCTAAATTTCAGTGGCTTAAAACAACAAAGATTTATTTCTCACTCTCATTATATGTTGTCTGAAGGTTTTCATTCCAGGATGTAAGTTTGAGGAATAGCTTCACTGGAAACATACCATTCTCATGAGAGAAGAAAAGACAGGCAGAGGGGAATCATAGAGCAGTTCTTAGAGTTCACCTCGGATAAGATGTATGCCATGCTCTGTCGCCTAAAGCAAGTCCTGGGCCGTGCCTAAGCATCAAAGGCCACAGGGACATCCTTCTCTCACAGGAAGGCATCACAAGTTACATGACAGTCACTAAGGATCTATTATCCTCTAATAGGAGGGCCACAAATAATTGGGTGCAAAGTATAACTGTCACATCTTTCGAGATTGCAGAATTACTGCACACAGTTACCTTTCACAAATGAGATCAGAGTCAGAATAAGGAGCAACTTTTCTCCCCATCCTCTTTATGTCAAGGGGCAATATGTATTTGCAATGAGTGAATGAATGTCACCATAGGTTGATGTAATTCCCATCAGCAAATCAACAGATGTTTCTCAAAAAATGCGTCAGGAAATACAATATGATTTTGATGCATCAAATTTCTAAGAAAATACAAAAGATAAGGAAATATAAAATTTCACCATCGTAATAGTAGTTATTGCCTAAATTTATTTAGAATTTTTATGTGCCAATTTCCAAAGCGGAGAAATCATTGCATTCTCCTAGGGCCTATTCAACTTTCAGCATGCCATTCTTCCCTATAGTCAGCCATTGTTGAGTACTCTGGAAAAACGAAATTCATTTTCATTTCATTTTCATTTTCAGCCTGAGGTAACTCTTTCTAAAATGTTGGGCATTGACTAACTTTCAAACTGGTTGTGTTGGTCCATGCTGGAGAATATAAAATCACCCAACATTCATCTTTATTGTGCATACATTTGCTTATTGATGGTTAATAAAGAAATCTACAGAATGGGTATAGCATAAATTGGTAGAGACTTTCTCTGGCTACCAGAAAGTTCAACAACGGCCTCTATGACTTTAACATTTTAGAGTAATGGCAGGCTAATTTGTGAATCTTACTCTGCAATATGAAGGTATCAGGTGATGTTGTGTTACTTCCTGTAAATATTCTGATGTTACACAGCTTCCCAAGTCAAATCACACTCTCCACTCCATGAAGGCCTGAATCCTTGAAATGGAGAAACTTCATGATGACTGTAAGCCATTCCACATGGGAATACTTTGTAGATATATCATTGGTATTTTGGAAAGCAGTCGTCATGTGATTTTGATTACAGCATATGCAGTATATCTGAGGATTGTTCACATAAGCATTAAATATAAAACTGTCTTGGAGTGTGTCATGGATTTTGAATCTGAAAAAGTGTGACTGTGTATACCACACATGCTGGGCTATTGGACAGCACTTGCCAAATGCCTTTCATTCCACCTTCACCTTTAACTGAGGAAGGCAGCACTTGAATATACTATCTGGTTGGTGTGAGAGCCTGTTTGATCAGGTGTTGATGGCCAGTATCTGAGGCTAGGGTCAAGATTCAAGCCCTTTAATAGAGAAGGGGGTAGGATACCCAAAAGATGAGATGCATAAAAAGGCACAGCAATTTTCTCCTAGGGGAAGAATTTTAAAGCACCTATTAAGGTGATTTGAAATACATCAAAACAATGGTTTGTATTGTTTGTATTGAAATTCTTCTGTTTGTGTTGAACTCCTCCTCTCCCCTAAATCTGTAGCAACCTGGACACAATCTAGAATTGCACAGCAGATAATGAAGACCTTTTACGTTCGTGATTCTTGGGTCCTCTGGACTGCTCAGCAGCACTCTGAATGGACTCTGCTACTTCTTAGCATATGAGCCAGAATAGTTAAATTTTTATCCTCCAGGAACAGATGCCAAGAGTTTCAAGCAAAGCATATTAGTCATATTGTTTAAAAGATTGTTGTGAAGTACTTCCAAGTGGGGAAGATTTAAAATCTTATAACCAAACCCAGGTGTGCACTTATACAACCAATTTCATTTTTATTACAATGAAAGGAAATAAGAATCACTGAAATCCACAATTGACCATGAAATCTCTAATTTTAGTTTTTATTTAATTATCTGGCCTTCCAATATTTTGCAAGAAGTGCTGAATACCAGTAAGCCAGAATCTGATGGATTTTATATTTTTTCTTTGACCCTACCTACCTTCTATTTACAGCCCATGATGAAATGACCAAATTTCAGGGGTCTGAAGGAGGAGGCCTCCAGATAACTCAGAGGCTCTACATTACTAGAGTGTTTATCTATGGGTCTATCCATCAGCCTATTCTCTACCTATCTTTGTTGTTGTTGTTGTTTGTTTGTTTGTTTGTGAGATGAAGTCTCACTCTGTTGCCCAGGCTGGAGTGCAATGGCATGATCTCGGCTCACTGCAACCTCTGCCTCCCAGGTTCAAGCGATTCTCCTGCCTCAGCCTCCCAAGCAGCTGGGACTACAGGCGTGTGCCACCACACCCAGCTAATTTTTGTATTTTTAGTAGACATGGGGTTTCACCATGTTGGCCAGGATGGTCTCGATCTTTTGACCTTGTGATCGGCCTGCCTAGGCCTCCCAAAGTGCTGGGATGACAGGCATGAACCACCACGCCTGGCCCCTGTCTATCTTTTTATTTAGGGAGGTTAGGCCTCAAGCTTGAGATAAAATCTGTCTTTAAGTTTGGTTTGGGTGGAACACCAAATAGACGATGCCTATTCAGTGCCATTTCTGACATTTCTGATCTCCTTTGTGATCAATTATATAGATGGTCATCATGCCTAATAGATTATGTATTAAAAATGAGGCAAGCCATTCATCTTTATTGTTACTATCTGAATATTCACTTTCATATATATGTACCATTCAGACAGGTAACTTGAAGTAAAGCAATCTCTTTATGTGCCCTCTGGGTTGAAATTGTAACAGTCGCTAAGGTGTAAATGCATATTTATAATGGTAAAAGTAAAATGCTTTAATAAGTAATGATGATTATATTAGCAAGGCCATTTGGCCCCATATGCAAACAGTAGGCTCTGATCCAGCTTTTGTCCAATATGAAAATAGTCATTTTATCTCTGCCTCTCTTCAGGTTAGCTATGAACCTGGGTATGTGTTGAAATTTTTCATCGAGTAAAGACTAACAAGCAGATTTATTTGTTGGGTGCCTTCAACCCCTAAAATCCATGAACTCCTAAAGCTGAGATCCCTGTGGCTATCCTGATTTAGTTCCATTTTCCCCTTACATTATGTGAAGTTGTGCACATAATAAACTGCCACTTATCTGAGCTCATTGAGTTAGGTTTCTGTTCCTTGCACCTAAATTTGACACACTAAAGCCAAACACCTTTTATTTAACAAAGCGACCTGTAGCCCTTCAAGAGCCTGTAGAGCTGCTGTGTTGGTCCATGTTGGTCCATGTTGGTCCATGTTGGTCCCTGTTGGTCCATGTTGGTCCCTGTTGTAGTTCTTGAAGGGTTGCAAGTTGCTTTGTTAAATAAAAGGTACTTGGCTTAGTGACTCATTGGTGATGAAAATTGTGATTTCTGATGAAGTGAAAGGAGAAGCGGAAACCTGGCCCACGCCTGTAATCCCAGCACTTTGGGAGGCCGAGGAGGGCAGATCACTTGAGGCCAGGAGCTCGAGACCAGCCTGGCCAACATGGTGAAACACCAGCTGTACTAAAGATACAAAAAGTTAGCTGGGCGTGGTGGCACGTGCCTGTAGTCCCAGCTACTCCAGAGGCTGAGGCAAGAGAACAGCTTGAACTGGGGAGGTGGAGGTTGCAGTAAGCCAAGATCGCACCATTGCACTCCAGCCTGGGGGACAGAGCAAAACTCTGTCTCAAAAAAAAAAAAAAAAAAAGAGTCTGAAAGAGGTGTATTTTGCTGTCTGTCTCTGGCTTTGTATGAAGATTCGCCTCTTGAAAATAGGCAGAGGCCAGGGTGCAATGCAGGGTACCAGCCACTGTTGCCTTTAACCGGGCAGCCTGCGGTATTTAAGGATTATAGGAACAGAGTTCAGCTGGGGATTTTTAGGCATAGTAACTTAATTTCTTTCGCTTAGTTTTAAAAATTCTAATATATTTTATACTTGTAGGAATTACAAAACTTAAATACGGGCTTTAAAGCTAACTTTGTTACTCCAGATGTCTCCACTTCAAATGGTGGAGAACTGGCAACTTCTAAAATTAACTTCTGTTTATTTAAATCAGACAGCCTAAGATTCCTATTTGAAAGTATTATATGATAATGTTGCTATTACTATAGCCATTCAGTCCTGTAAAGGGAAAATGCCAAGAGTAAGGTATTGACTATGTTTTTCTTGACTTGGTTATAACTATTGAGCTTTTGAGGAAGGCCAAAAAAAGCCCCTTTTTAAAAATACTTTTCCTTCCTGTGCTTGAAACCACCTGAGAAATAAGACACAGAGACACCAGGTGGAACCAACCGAGAAATAAGACAGAGACACCAGGTGGAAATTAAAAGGTCGGAAATGTTACCGAAGGAGTAGGACAGAGACTGATCTGTGGCCAAATGGGCTTGATAGTGGATGTATCTACCCACGGCTAGGCACTGCTGGCCAACTGCTGGCCTCCTTAACCAACCATGTGGTCAAGACTTCCCCCTGATCTGCAGGCAGAAAGATCTGAAAACAGAGGGGAATGCTGAGCTGAGCCAGCTCCATTCTTCCCCAAACTCACCAATCTGACCATTCAGCCTCCCTCCCAAGGCAGGAAGGAGTGAGGGCCGCAGGTGGAGAGCAGGCTGCGGTTCTCAGCCTTGGCTGGATATTAGAACTGCTGAGAAGCTTGGCAAATCCTGACGCGCAGGTCACCTAAAGGAATTACACAGAGGTTTTTGAGGGTAAGCATTTGTATTTTTAAAACTGTTCAAGTGAACCGTTTTCCAGTCTAGGTTGAGAACACGAGCTGCAGTGGCAATTTTCCAGACGGAAATGTGAAGCTGGGCAGGGAGCTTCCTTCATCTGCCACTGCTTCCCGGAGGGAAGTTGATCTGGGGTTTTGGGTGTTGTCTTGGGTAGTGTTGGGAGAGAGTACAAATGATGATGTCTCCGTCTTTTGAGGCTGTGCTGATTTGTTCCTCAGGATTGGGTAAATAAATGTTCCATGAGAGTATTTTGCTGTTGAAGGGAAGTAATCCTGTGGAAATGTGTGAATACCTTGTACAGGCGTTGTTTAGGTAAATGAGTGTTCAAATTTTCTAAGACTAAATCCATATAGAATAGTAAAGATTTGAAACGATCCTCAGAACAAACTAAACCTAAACCACCAGGCCATTAATTTCTGTGCATGTGTGTGGCCTGAGGGCTTAATGACGCAGCTCACACTGGTCACAGCCACTGTGCTGACCAGGAGGGAGTGTCCAGCAGCACCCCCAGTGGTCTGCACTTGTTACCTCATGGGTATTTGTAGAACACAACAGATATGTTGGTGTGCAAATGGAGCAATGTTGTCACAGTTTGACAGCAATTTGGATGGATGATGGAAAGAACATTTCCCTCCCCGTTTTGTCTCTTGTCCATACCTTTGAGCCATTCTCCTCTGAACATAAATCTCCCACTAGTTACTATCCTATTGCCAGTTGCCTAAGGTAATGAATAGTTGCTTGAACTTGTGTTGGTGGATTGGAGCAAACTCACTGCCACTTCTAGGGAAAGGGAAAGTCCTTCAAGTGATCTATCCTAATGATTGCAAGTCATCAATAATCCCACAGTTAGTGAGACGTCTTTGTGGGGGTTTGTACAGTTCTAATCACTTTATAAAAATAATGGAGAGAGTTTGGGCCTATGAAACATACTGTCTGAGCAGGGAGATAACACGCACACACACACACACACACACACACACACACAGACTTAAATATCTAGGCTGGGCGTGGTGGCTCACGCCTGTAATACCAGCACTTTGGGAGGTTGAGACGGGTGGGAGGTCAAGAGATCGAGACCATCCTGGCCAACATGGTGAAACCTCGTCTCTACTAAAAATACAAAAATTAGCTGGGCGTGGTGGCACTTGCCTGTAATCCCAGCTGCTTGGGAGGCTGAGGCAGGAGAATCACTTGAACCCAGGAGGCGGAGGTGGCAGTGAACCGAGATCAAGCCACTGCACTCCAGCCTGGTGACAGAGCAAGACTCCGTCTAAAAAAAAAAAAGATTTCAATATCTGTGTAAGATCTTAGCGTTAAAAAAAAATCAGGTGCTACGAGTTATAAGTTCCGTAGTGCAGAAGAAGAAATGTTTGCTGGGAACCTCAGGAAGGCTTCTTGTTCCAGTATTTTGTCCTGCCTGGTTAGCGTGTGAAAGCCAGCCAATGAAAGGAGGCCTGCTGCTCATCAGTGTCGGCCAACGATGCTTCCTATCAAGCACGTCTTTTCATTCTGATGCTTTGACATCTGGGGCCTTGCTGACCCTGGAAGGGATGGCCTCTCCCAGGGTTCACTAGTTCCTAGAGACAGTAAAGTGAGTGCACCTTTTAACTGCAAACCGACCAGCCCAGAGTCCACATTCCAGCCACCTCCTTTATAGGTTCTCACACTCCAGGCCACTATCCCTCTGCCCTAATCATCCCAGGGCCAGGTAACAGGCAGCTAGAGACAGCCGTGTGCCCAAGCCCACTGAGATTACGCAAACTGCCCAGTCCTAAAGCTGCTTGCCCGCCTCTTCTGTTCCTTCCTGCTGATACCACAATAGAGGCTCATGTCACAATTTCCCCTCACTCCGCCTCCTGCACTTCCCTGTGTGGCCCGTGTGGTGTGTTGCATGTGATGTGTGCTGCCCTCTCCCCTTCGGAACTGTGAATAACAAACTGTCTTCTCAATGACAGTCATCGAGTCATCTTCTGATCTGCTGGCCTCACCATACCTGAATAAGAATAAAACCCACATTTTAAAACCTACCTTTTTCCTGCTGCCTTCGAACACAGTCTGTCTCTGTGTGTGTGTGTGTGTGTGTGTGTGTGTGTGTGTATGTGTGTATTTCAGCTCCCAGCAAGCTTTCTAATGTATTAAAGTGAAGGTGGGGTATTGTAAAGTGTTTTTAGGTAGCTTTGATATTTTTAGGCCATCTACTTTTCTTTCATAGACTTTTCCATTTCGCTTTTAACATCTTGTCTTTATAAAGTATTTTTTAAAAACTTTATTTTGAGATAACTGTACATGCAGTTGTAAGAAATAATGCAGTTAGATCCCACATATCCTTCATCCAGTTTCCCCCAGTGGTAACATTTTGAAAAACTACGTTCAATATCACAACCAGGAAAATGACACTGGTGCAATCTGCCAACCCCACTCAGATTTCCCTGGCTCTACGTGTGTGTGTGTGTGTGTGTGTGTGTGTGTGTGTGTGTGTGTGTGTGTATGTCCATCACATGGGCAGATCCTGTGGGCACCACAGTCCAGATGCAAAG